>NC_000011.10:51945798-52128614 GCF_000001405.40 Homo sapiens
AACATTCTCAGAAACTGCTTTGTGATGTTTGTGTTCCACTTCAAGAATTGAACTTTCCTCTTGACAGAGCAGCTCTGAAACCCTCTTTTTCTAGAATCTGCAAGTGGACATTTGGAGGGCTTTGAGGCCTGTGGTGGAAAAGGAAAATCTTCACATAAAAACTAGATGGAAGCATTCTCAGAAACTACTTTGTGATGATTGCATTCGACTCACAGAGTTGAACATTCCTATAGATAGAGCAGGTTGTAAACAATCTTTTTGTAGAATCTGCGATTGGAGATTTGGACTGCTTTGAGGCCTACTGTAGTAAAGGAAATAACTTCATCTAAAAACCAAACGGAAGCATTCACAGACAATTCTTAGTGATCTATTGGATTGAACTAACAGAGCTGAACATTCCTTTAGATGGAGCAGTTTCCAAACACACTTTCTGTAGAATCTGTAAGTGGATATTTGGACTTCTCTGAGGATTTCGTTGGAAACGGGATAAACTTCCCAGAACTACACGGAAGCATTGTGAGAAACTTCTTTGTGATGTTTGCATTCAACTCACAGAGTTGAACCTTGCTTTCATAGTTCAGCTTTCAAACACTCTTTTTGTAGAATCTGCAAGTGGATATTTGGACCACTTTGTGGCCTTCCTTCGAAACGGGTATATCTTCACATCAAACCTAGACAGAAGCATTCTCAGAATGTTTCCTGTGATGACTGCATTCAACTCACAGAGGTGAACAATCCTGTTGATGGAGCACTTTTGAAACTCTCTTTCTTTGGATTCTGCAAGTTGATATGAGGACCTCTGTGAAGATTTCGTTGGAAACGGGTTCATCTTCACAGAAAAACTAAACAGAAGCATTCTCAGAAACTACTTTGTGATGTTTGTGTTCCACTTCAAGAATTGAACTTTCATCTTGACAGAGCAGCTCTGCAACCCTCTTTTTCTAGAATCTGCAAGTGGACATTTGGAGGGCTTTGAGGCCTGTGGTGGAAAAGGAAAATCTTCACATAAAAACTAGATGGAAGCATTCTCAGAAACTACTTTGTGATGATTGCATTCGACTCACAGAGTTGAACATTCCTATAGATAGAGCAGGTTGTAAACAATCTTTTTGTAGAATCTGCGATTGGAGATTTGGACTGCTTTGAGGCCTACTGTAGTAAAGGAAATAACTTCATCTAAAAACCAAACGGAAGCATTCACAGACAATTCTTAGTGATCATTGCATTGATCTAACAGAGCTGAACATTCCTTTAGATGGCGTAGTTTCCAAACACACTTTCTGTAGAATCTGCAAGTGGATATTTGGACCTCTCTGAGGATTTCGTTGGAAAAGGGATAAACTTCCCAGAACTACACGGAAGCATTCTGAGAAACTTCTTTGTGATGTTTGCATTCAACTCACAGAGTTGAACCTTGCTTTCATAGTTCAGCTTTCAAACACTCTTTTTGTGGAATCTGCAAGTGGATATATGGACCACTTTGTGGCCTTCCTTTGAAACGGGTACATCTTCACATCAAACCTAGACAGAAGCATTCTCAGAATGTTTCCTGTGATGACTGCATTCAACTCACAGAGGTGAACAATCCTGCTGATGGAGCAGTTTTGAAACTCTCTTTCTTTGGATTCTGCAAGTGGATATGTGGACCTCTGTGAAGATTTCGTTGGAAACGGGTTCATCTTCACAGAAAAACTAAACAGAAGCATTCTCAGAAACTGCTTTGTGATGTTTGTGTTCCACTTCAGGAATTGAACTTTCCTCTTGACAGAGCAGCTCTGAAACCCTCTTATTCTAGAATCTGCAAGTGGACATTTGGAGGGCTTTGAGGCCTGTGGTGGAAAACGAAAATCTTCACATAAAAACTAGATGGAAGCATTCTCAGAAACTACTTTGTGATGATTGCATTCGACTCACAGAGTTGAACATTCCTATAGATAGAGCAGGTTGTAAACAATCTTTTTGTAGAATCTGCGATTGGAGATTTGGACTGCTTTGAGGCCTACTGTAGTAAAGGAAATAACTTCATCTAAAAACCAAACGGAAGCATTCACAGAAAATTCATAGTGATCATTGCACTGAACTAACAGAGCTGAACATTCCTTTAGATGGAGCAGTTTCCAAACACACTTTCTGTAGAATCTGCAAGTGGATATTTGGACTTCTCTGAGGATTTCGTTGGAAACGGGATAAACTTCTCAGAACTACACGGAAGCATTGTGAGAAACTTCTTTGTGATGTTTGCATTCAACTCACAGAGTTGAACCTTGCTTTCATAGTTCAGCTTTCAAACACTCTTTTTGTAGAATCTGCAAGTGGATATTTGGACCACTTTGTGGCCTTCCTTCGAAACGGGTATATCTTCACATCAAACCTAGACAGAAGCATTCTCAGAATGTTTCCTGTGATGACTGCATTCAACTCACAGAGGTGAACAATCCTGCTGATGGAGCAGTTTTGAAACTCTCTTTCTTTGGATTCTGCAAGTGGATATGTGGACCTCTGTGAAGATTTCGTTGGAAACGGGTTCATCTTCACAGAAAAACTAAACAGAAGCATTCTCAGAAACTGCTTTGTGATGTTTGTGTTCCACTTCAGGAATTGAAATTTCCTCTTGACAGAGCAGCTCTGAAACCCTCTTATTCTAGAATCTGCAAGTGGACATTTGGAGGGCTTTGAGGCCTGTGGTGGAAAAGGAAAATCTTCACATAAAAACTAGATGGAAGCATTCTCAGAAACTACTTTGTGATGATTGCATTCGACTCACAGAGTTGAACATTCCTATAGATAGAGCAGGTTGTAAACAATCTTTTTGTAGAATCTGCGATTGGAGATTTGGACTGCTTTGAGGCCTACTGTAGTAAAGGAAATAACTTCATCTAAAAACCAAACGGAAGCATTCACAGACAATTCTTAGTGATCATTGGATTGAACTAACAGAGCTGAACATTCCTTTAGATGGCGCAGTTTCCAAACACACTTTCTGTAGAATCTGCAAGTGGATATTTGGACTTCTCTGAGGATTTCGTTGGAAACGGGATAAACTTCCCAGAACTACACGGAAGCATTGTGAGAAACTTCTCTGTGATGTTTGCATTCAACTCACAGAGTTGAACCTTGCTTTCATAGTTCAGCTTTCAAACACTCTTTTTGTGGAATCTGCAAGTGGATAATGGACCACTTTGTGGCCTTCCTTCGAAACGGGTATATCTTCACATCAAACCTAGACAGAAGCATTCTCAGAATGTTTCCTGTGATGACTGCATTCAACTCACAGAGGTGAACAATCCTGCTGATGGAGCAGTTTTGAAACTCTCTTTCTTTGGATTCTGCAAGTGGATATGTGGACCTCTGTGAAGATTTCGTTGGAAACGTGTTCATCTTCACAGAAAAACTAAACAGGAGCATTCTCAGAAACTGCTTTGTGATGTTTGTGTTCCACTTCAAGAATTGAACTTTCCTCTTGACAGAGCAGCTCTGAAACCCTCTTTTTCTAGAATCTGCAAGTGGACATTTGGAGGGCTTTGAGGCCTGTGGTGGAAATGGAAAATCTTCACATAAAAACTAGATGGAAGCATTCTCAGAAACTACTTTGTGATGATTGCATTCGACTCACAGAGTTGAACATTCCTATAGATAGAGAAGGTTGTAAACAATCTTTTTGTAGAATCTGCGATTGGAGATTTGGACTGCTTTGAGGCCTACTGTAGTAAAGGAAATAACTTCACCTAAAAACCAAACGGAAGCATTCACAGACAATTCTTAGTGATCATTGCATTGAACTAACAGAGCTGAACATTCCTTTAGATGGCGCAGTTTCCAAACACACTTTCTGTAGAATCTGCAAGTGGATATTTGGACCTCTCTGAGGATTTCGTTGGAAACGGGATAAACTTCCCAGAACTACACGGAAGCATTCTGAGAAACTTCTTTGTGATGTTTGCATTCAACTCACAGAGTTGAACCTTGCTTTCATAGTTCAGCTTTCAAACACTCTTTTTGTAGAATCTGCAAGTGGATATTTGGACCACTTTGTGGCCTTCCTTCGAAACGGGTATATCTTCACATCAAACCTAGACAGAAGCATTCTCAGAATGTTTCCTGTGATGACTGCATTCAACTCACAGAGGTGAACAATCCTGCTGATGGAGCACTTTTGAAACTCTCTTTCTTTGGATTCTGCAAGTGGATATGTGGACCTCTGTGAAGATTTCGTTGGAAACGGGTTCATCTTCACAGAAAAACTAAACAGAAGCATTCTCAGAAACTGCTTTGTGATGTTTGTGTTCCACTTCAGGAATTGAACTTTCCTCTTGACAGAGCAGCTCTGAAACCCTCTTATTCTAGAATCTGCAAGTGGACATTTGGAGGGCTTTGAGGCCTGTGGTGGAAAAGGAAAATCTTCACATAAAAACTAGATGGAAGCATTCTCAGAAACTACTTTGTGATGATTGCATTCGACTCACAGAGTTGAACATTCCTATAGATAGAGCAGGTTGTAAACAAACTTTCTGTAGAATCTGCGATTGCAGATTTGGACTGCTTTGAGGCCTACGGTAGTAAAGGCAATAACTTCATCTAAAAACCAAACGGAAGCATTCACAGACAATTCTTAGTGATCATTGGATTGAACTAACAGAGCTGAACATTCCTTTAGATGGCGCAGTTTCCAAACACACTTTCTGTAGAATCTGCAAGTGGATATTTGGACCTCTCTGAGGATTTCGTTGGAAACGGGATAAACTTCCCAGAACTACACGGAAGCATTCTGAGAAACTTCTTTGTGATGTTTGCATTCAACTCACAGAGTTGAACCTTGCTTTCATAGTTCAGCTTTCAAACACTCTTTTTGTAGAATCTGCAAGTGGATATTTGGACCACTTTGTGGCCTTCCTTCGAAACGGGTATATCTTCACATCAAACCTAGACAGAAGCATTCTCAGAATGTTTTCTGTGATGACTGCATTCAACTTACAGAGGTGAACAATCCTGTTGATGGAGCAGTTTTGAAACTCTCTTTCTTTGGATTCTGCAAGTGGATATGTGGACCTCTGTGAACATTTCGTTGGAAACGGGTTCATCTTCACAGAAAAACTAAACAGGAGCATTCTCAGAAACTGCTTTGTGATGTTTGTGTTCCACTTCAGGAATTGAACTTTCCTCTTGACAGAGCAGCTCTAAAACCCTCTTATTCTAGAATCTGCAAGTGGACATTTGGAGGGCTTTGAGGCCTGTGGTGGAAAAGGAAAATCTTCACATAAAAACTAGATGGAAGCATTCTCAGAAACTACTTTGTGATGATTGCATTCGACTCACAGAGTTGAACATTCCTATAGATAGAGCAGGTTGTAAACAATCTTTTTGTAGAATCTGCGATTGGAGATTTGGACTGCTTTGAGGCCTACTGTAGTAAAGGAAATAACTTCATCTAAAAACCAAACGGAAGCATTCACAGACAATTCTTAGTGATCATTGCATTGAACTAACAGAGCTGAACATTCCTTTAGATGGAGCAGTTTCCAAACACACTTTCTGTAGAATCTGCAAGTGGATATTTGGACCTCTCTGAGGATTTCGTTGGAAACGGGATAAACTTCCCAGAACTACACGGAAGCATTCTGAGAAACTTCTTTGTGATGTTTGCATTCAACTCACAGAGTTGAACCTTGCTTTCATAGTTCAGCTTTCAAACACTCTTTTTGTAGAATCTGCAAGTGGATATTTGGACCACTTTGTGGCCTTCCTTCGAAACGGGTATATCTTCACATCAAACCTAGACAGAAGCATTCTCAGAATGTTTCCTGTGATGACTGCATTCAACTCACAGAGGTGAACAATCCTGCTGATGGAGCAGTTTTGAAACTCTCTTTCTTTGGATTCTGCAAGTGGATATGTGGACCTCTGTAAAGATTTCGTTGGAAACGGGTTCATCTTCACAGAGAAACTAAACAGAAGCATTCTCAGAAACTGCTTTGTGATGTTTGTGGTCCACTTCAGGAATTGAACTTTCCTCTTGACAGAGCAGCTCTGAAACCCTCTTATTCTAGAATCTGCAAGTGGACATTTGGAGGGCTTTGAGGCCTGTGGTGGAAAAGGAAAATCTTCACATAAAAACTAGATGGAAGCATTCTCAGAAACTACTTTGTGATGATTGCATTCGACTGACAGAGTTGAACATTCCTATAGATAGAGCAGGTTGTAAACAATCTTTTTGTAGAATCTGCGATTGGAGATTTGGACTGCTTTGAGGCCTACTGTAGTAAAGGAAATAACTTCTTCTAAAAACCAAACGGAAGCATTCACAGACAATTCTTAGTGATCATTGGATTGAACTAACAGAGCTGAACATTCCCTTAGATGGCGCAGTTTCCAAACACACTTTCTGTAGAATCTGCAAGTGGATATTTGGACCTCTCTGAGGATTTCGTTGGAAACGGGATAAACTTCCCAGAACTACACGGAAGCATTCTGAGAAACTTCTTTGTGAAGTTTGCATTCAACTCACAGAGTTGAACCTTGCTTTCATAGTTCAGCTTTCAAACACTCTTTTTGTAGAATCTGCAAGTGGATATTTGGACCACTTTGTGGCCTTCCTTCGAAACGCGTATATCTTCACATCAAACCTAGACAGAAGCATTCTCAGAATGTTTCCTGTGATGACTGCATTCAACTCACAGAGGTGAACAATCCTGCTGATGGAGCAGTTTTGAAACTCTCTTTCTTTGGATTCTGCAAGTGGATATGTGGACCTCTGTGAAGATTTCGTTGGAAACGGGTTCATCTTCACAGAAAAACTAAACAGAAGCATTCTCAGAAACTGCTTTGTGATGTTTGTGTTCCACTTCAAGAATTGAACTTTCCTCTTGACAGAGCAGCTCTGAAACCCTCTTTTTCTAGAATCTGCAAGTGGACATTTGGAGGGCTTTGAGGCCTGTGGTGGAAAAGGAAAATCTTCACATAAAAACTAGATGGAAGCATTCTCAGAAACTACTTTGTGATGATTGCATTCGACTCACAGAGTTGAACATTCCTATAGATAGAGCAGGTTGTAAACAATCTTTTTGTACAATCTGCGATTGGAGATTTGGACTGCTTTGAGGCCTACTGTAGAAAAGGAAATAACTTCATCTAAAAACGAAACGGAAGCATTCACAGACAATTCTTAGTGATCATTGGATTGAACTAACAGAGCTGAACATTCCTTTAGATGGAGCAGTTTCCAAACCCACTTTCTGTAGAATCTGCAAGTGGATATTTGGACTTCTCTGAGGATTTCGTTGGAAACGGGATAAACTTCCCAGAACTACACGGAAGCATTGTGAGAAACTTCTTTGTGATGTTTGCATTCAACTCACAGAGTTGAACCTTGCTTTCATAGTTCAGCTTTCAAACACTCTTTTTGTAGAATCTGCAAGTGGATATTTGGACCACTTTGTGGCCTTCCTTCGAAACGGGTATATCTTCACATCAAACCTAGACAGAAGCATTCTCAGAATGTTTCCTGTG
The DNA here is from genome assembly GCF_000001405.40 of Homo sapiens. NCBI lineage: Eukaryota > Metazoa > Chordata > Mammalia > Primates > Hominidae > Homo > Homo sapiens. Next base: position 51,953,302 of record NC_000011.10, read on the forward strand.
ATGACTGCATTCAACTCACAGTGGTGAACAATCCTTCTGATGGAGCAGTTTTGAAACTCTCTTTCTTTGGACTCTGCAAGTGGATATGTGGACCTCTGTGAAGATTTCGTTGGAAACGGGTTCATCTTCACAGAAAAACTAAACAGGAGCATTCCCAGAAACTGCTTTGTGATGTTTGTGTTCCACTTCAAGAATTGAACTTTCCTCTTGACAGAGCAGCTCTGAAACCCTCTTTTTCTAGAATCTGCAAGTGGACATTTGGAGGGCTTTGAGGCCTGTGGTGGAAAAGGAAAATCTTCACATAAAAACTAGATGGAAGCATTCTCAGAAACTACTTTGTGATGATTGCATTCGACTCACATAGTTGAACATTCCTATAGATAGAGCAGGTTGTAAACAATCTTTTTGTAGAATCTGCGATTGGAGATTTGGACTGCTTTGAGGCCTACTGTAGTAAAGGAAATAACTTCATCTAAAAACCAAACGGAAGCATTCACAGAAAATTCTTAGTGATCATTGGATTGAACTAACAGAGCTGAACATTCCTTTAGATGGAGCAGTTTCCAAACCCACTTTCTGTAGAATATTCAAGTGGATATTTGGACTTCTCTGAGGATTTCGTTGGAAACGGGATAAACTTCCCAGAACTACACGGAAGCATTCTGAGAAACTTCTTTGTGATGTTTGCATTCAACTCACAGAGTTGAACCTTGCTTTCATAGTTCAGCTTTCAAACACTCTTTTTGTAGAATCTACAGAAAGTGGATATTTGGACCACTTTGTGGCCTTCCTTCGAAACGGGTATATCTTCACATCAAACCTAGACAGAAGCATTCTCAGAATGTTTCCTGTGATGACTGCATTCAACTGACAGAGGTGAACAATCCTGCTGATGGAGCAGTTTTGAAACTCTCTTTCTTTGGATTCTGCAAGTGGATATGTGGACCTCTGTGAAGATTTGGTTGGAAACGGGTTCATCTTCCCAGAAAAACTAAAAAGAAACATTCTCAGAAACTGCTTTGTGAAGTTTGTGTTCCACTTCAGGAATTGAACTTTCCTCTTGACAGAGCAGCTCTGAAACCCTCTTATTCTAGAATCTGCAAGTGGACATTTGGAGGGCTTTGAGGCCTGTGGTGGAAAAGGAAAATCTTCACATAAAAACTAGATGGAAGCATTCTCAGAAACTACTTTGTGATGATTGCATTCGACTCACAGAGTTGAACATTCCTATAGATAGAGCAGGTTGTAAACAATCTTTTTGTAGAATCTGCGATTGGAGATTTGGACTGCTTTGAGGCCTACTGTAGTAAAGGAAATAACTTCATCTAAAAACCAAACGGAAGCATTCACAGACAATTCTTAGTGATCATTGCATTGAACTAACAGAGCTGAACATTCCTTTAGATGGCGCAGTTTCCAAACACACTTTCTGTAGAATCTGCAAGTGGATATTTGGACTTCTCTGAGGATTTCGTTGGAAACGGGATAAACTTCCCAGAACTACACGGAAGCATTGTGAGAAACTTCTTTGTGATGTTTGCATTCAACTCACAGAGTTGAACCTTGCTTTCATAGTTCAGCTTTCAAACACTCTTTTTGTAGAATCTGCAAGTGGATATTTGGACCACTTTGTGGCCTTCCTTCGAAACGGGTATATCTTCACATCAAACCTAGACAGAAGCATTCTCAGAATGTTTCCTGTGATGACTGCATTCAACTCACAGAGGTGAACAATCCTGCTGATGGAGCAGTTTTGAAACTCTCTTTCTTTGGATTCTGCAAGTGGATATGTGGACCTCTGTGAAGATTTCGTTGGAAACGGGTTCATCTTCACAGAAAAACTAAACAGAAGCATTCTCAGAAACTGCTTTGTGATGATTGTGTTCCACTTCAAGAATTGAACTTTCCTCTTGACAGAGCAGCTCTGAAACCCTCTTTTTCTAGAATCTGCAAGTGGACATTTGGAGGGCTTTGAGGCCTGTGGTGGAAAAGGAAAATCTTCACATAAAAACTAGATGGAAGCATTCTCAGAAACTACTTTGTGATGATTGCATTCGACTCACAGAGTTGAACATTCCTATAGATAGAGCAGGTTGAAAACAATCTTTTTGTAGAATCTGCGATTGGAGATTTGGACTGCTTTGAGGCCTACTGTAGTAAAGGAAATAACTTCATCTAAAAACCAAACGGAAGGATTCACAGACAATTCTTAGTGATCATTGGATTGAACTAACAGAGCTGAACATTCCTTTAGATGGCGCAGTTTCCAAACACACTTTCTGTAGAATCTGCAAGTGGATATTTGGACCTCTCTGAGGATTTCGTTGGAAACGGGAAAAACTTCCCAGAACTACACGGAAGCATTGTGAGAAACTTCTTTGTGATGTTTGCATTCAACTCACAGAGTTGAACCTTGCTTTCATAGTTCAGCTTTCAAACACTCTTTTTGTAGAATCTGCAAGTGGATATTTGGACCACTTTGTGGCCTTCCTTCGAAACGGGTATATCTTCACATCAAACCTAGACAGAAGCATTCTCAGAATGTTTCCTGTGATGACTGCATTCAACTCACAGAGGTGAACAATCCTGCTGATGGAGCAGTTTTGAAACTCTCTTTCTTTGGATTCTGCAAGTTGATATGTGGACCTCTGTGAAGATTTCGTTGGAAACGGGTTCATCTTCACAGAAAAATTAAACAGGAGCATTCTCAGAAACTGCTTTGTGATGTTTGTGTTCCACTTCAGGAATTGAACTTTCCTCTTGACAGAGCAGCTCTGAAACCCTCTTTTTCTAGAATCTGCAAGTGGACATTTGGAGGGCTTTGAGGCCTGTGGTGGAAAAGGAAAATCTTCACATAAAAACTACACGGAAGCATTCTCAGCAAACTACTTTTTGATGATTGCATTTGACTCACAGAGTTGAACATTCCTATAGATAGAGCAGGTTGTAAACAATCGTTTTCTAGAATCTGCGATTGGAGATTTGGACTGCTTTGAGGCCTACTGTAGTAAAGGAAATAACTGCATCTAAAAACCAAACGGAAGCATTCACAGACAATTCTTAGTGATCATTGGAATGAACTAACAGAGCTGAACATTCCTTTAGATGGAGCAGTTTCCAAACACACTTTCTGTAGAATCTGCAAGTGGATATTTGGACTTCTCTGAGGATTTCGTTGGAAACGGGATAAACTTCCCAGAACTACACGGAAGCATTCTGAGAAACTTCTTTGTGATGTTTGCATTCAACTCACAGAGTTGAACCTTGCTTTCATAGTTCAGCTTTCAAACACTCTTTTTGTAGAATCTGCAAGTGGATATTTGGACCACTTTGTGGCCTTCCTTCGAAACGGGTATATCTTCACATCAAACCTAGACAGAAGAATTCTCAGTAATGTTTCCTGTGATGACTGCATTCAACTCACAGAGGTGAACAATCCTGTTGATGGAGCACTTTTGAAACTCTCTTTCTTTGGATTCTGCAAGTTGATATGTGGACCTCTGTGAAGATTTCGTTGGAAACGGGTTCATCTTCACAGAAAAACTAAACAGAAGCATTCTCAGAAACTACTTTGTGATGTTTGTGTTCCACTTCAAGAATTGAACTTTCCTCTTGACAGAGCAGCTCTGAAACCCTCTTTTTCTAGAATCTGCAAGTGGACATTTGGAGGGCTTTGAGGCCTGTGGTGGAAAAGGAAAATCTTCACATAAAAACTAGATGGAAGCATTCTCAGAAACTACTTTGTGATGATTGCATTCGACTCACAGAGTTGAACATTCCTATAGATAGAGCAGGTTGTAAACAATCTTTTTGTAGAATCTGCGATTGGAGATTTGGACTGCTTTGAGGCCTACTGTAGTAAAGGAAATAACTTCATCTAAAAACCAAACGGAAGCATTCACAGACAATTCTTAGTGATCATTGGATTGAACTAACAGAGCTGAACATTCCCTTAGATGGCGCAGTTTCCAAACACACTTTCTGTAGAATCTGCAAGTGGATATTTGGACCTCTCTGAGGATTTCGTTGGAAACGGGATAAACTTCCCAGAACTACACGGAAGTATTCTGAGAAACTTCTTTGTGATGTTTGCATTCAACTCACAGAGTTGAACCTTGCTTTCATAGTTCAGCTTTCAAACACTCTTTTTGTAGAATCTGCAAGTGGATATTTGGACCACTTTGTGGCCTTCCTTCGAAACGGGTATATCTTCACATCAAACCTAGACAGAAGCATTCTCAGAATGTTTCCTGTGATGACTACATTCAACTCACAGAGGTGAACAATCCTGTTGATGGAGCAGTTTTGAAACTCTCTTTCTTAGGATTCTGCAAGTGGATATGTGGATCTATGTGAAGATTTCGTTGGAAACGGGTTCATCTTCACAGAAAAACTAAACAGGAGCATTCTCAGAAACTGCTTTGTGATGCTTGTGTTCCACTTCAAGAATTGAACTTTCCTCTTGACAGAGCAGCTCTGAAACCCTCTTTTTCTAGAATCTGTAAGTGGACATTTAGAGGGCTTTGAGGCCTGTGGTGGAAAAGGAAAATCTTCACATAAAAACTAGATGGAAGCATTCTCAGAAACTACTTTGTGATGATTGCATTCGACTCACAGAGTTGAACATTCCTATAGATAGAGCAGGTTGTAAACAACCTTTTTGTAGAATCTGCGATTGGAGATTTGGACTGCTTTGAGGCCTACTGTAGTAAAGGAAATAACTTCATCTAAAAACCAAACGGAAGCATTCACAGACAATTCTTAGTGATCATTGGATTGAACTCACAGAGCTGAACATTCCATTAGATAGAGCAGTTTCCAAACACACTTTCTGCAGAATCTGCAAGTGGATATTTGGACTTCTCTAAGGATTTCGTTGGAAACGGGCTAAACTTCCCAGAACTACATGGGAAGCATTCTGAGAAACTTCTTTGTGATGTTTGCATTCAACTCACAGAGTTGAACCTTGCTTTCATAGTTCAGCTTTCAAACACTCTTTTTGTAGAATCTGCAAGTGGATATTTGGACCACTTTGTGGCCTTCCTTCGAAACGGGTATATCTTCACATCAAACCTAGACAGAAGCATTCTCAGAATGTTTCCTGTGATGACTGCATTCAACTCACAGAGGTGAACAATCCTGCTGATGGAGCAGTTTTGAAACTCTCTTTCTTTGGATTCTGCAAGTGGATATGTGGACCTCTGTGAAGATTTCGTTGGAAACGGGTTCATCTTCACAGAAAAACTAAACAGAAGCATTCTCAGAAACTGCTTTGTGATGTTTGTGTTCCACTTCAAGAATTGAACTTTCCTCTTGACAGAGCAGCTCTGAAAGCCTCTTTTTCTAGAATCTGCAAGTGGACATTTGGAGGGCTTTGAGGCCTGTGGTGGAAAAGGAAAATCTTCACATAAAAACTAGATGGAAGCATTCTCAGAAACTACTTTGTGATGATTGCATTCGACTCACAGAGTTGAACATTCCTATAGATAGAGCAGGTTGTAAACAATCTTTTTGTAGAATCTGCGATTGGAGATTTGGACTGCTTTGAGGCCTACTGTAGTAAAGGAAATAACTTCATCTAAAAACCAAAATGGAAGCATTCACAGACAATTCTTAGTGATCATTGCATTGAACTAACAGAGCTGAACATTCCTTTAGATGGAGCAGTTTCCAAACACACTTTCTGTAGAATCTGCAAGTGGATATGTGGACTTCTCTGAGGATTTCGTTGGAAACGGGATAAACTTACCCAGAACTACACGGAAGCATTGTGAGAAACTTCTTTGTGATGTTTGCATTCAACTCACAGAGTTGAACCTTGCTTTCATAGTTCAGCTTTCAAACACTCTTTTTGTAGAATCTGCAAGTGGATATTTGGACCACTTTGTGGCCTTCCTTCGAAACGGGTATATCTTCACATCAAACCTAGACAGAAGCATTCTCCGAATGTTTCCGGTGATTACTGCATTCAACTCACAGAGGTGAACAATCCTGCTGTTGGAGCAGTTTTGAAACTCTCTTTCTTTGGATTCTGCAAGTGGATATGTGGACCTCTGTGAAGATTTCGTTGGAAACGGGTTCATCTTCACAGAAAAACTAAACAGGAGCATTCTCAGAAACTGCTTTGTGATGTTTGTGTTCCACTTCAGGAATTGAACTTTCCTCTTGATAGAGCAGCTCTGAAACCCTCTTTTTCTAGAATCTGCAAGTGGACATTTGGAGGGCTTTGAGGCCTGTGGTGGAAAAGGAAAATCTTCACATAAAAACTAGATGGAAGCATTCTCAGAAACTACTTTGTGATGATTGCATTCGACTCACAGAGTTGAACATTCCTATAGATAGAGCAGGTTGTAAACAATCTTTTTGTAGAATCTGCGATTGGAGATTTGGACTGCTTTGAGGCCTACTGTAGTAAAGGAAATAACTTCATCTAAAAACCAAACGGAAGCATTCACAGACAATTCTTAGTGATCATTGGATTGAACTAACAGAGCTGAACATTCCTTTAGATGGCGCAGTTTCCAAACACACTTTCTGTAGAATCTGCAAGTGGATATTTGGACCTCTCTGAGGATTTCGTTGGAAACGGGATAAACTTCCCAGAACTACACGGAAGCATTGTGAGAAACTTCTTTGTGATGTTTGCATTCAACTCACAGAGTTGAACCTTGCTTTCATAGTTCAGCTTTCAAACACTCTTTTTGTAGAATCTGCAAGTGGATATTTGGACCACTTTGTGGCCTTCCTTCGAAACGGGTATATCTTCACATCAAACCTAGACAGAAGCATTCTCAGAATGTTTCCTGTGATGACTGCATTCAACTCACAGAGGTGAACAATCCTGCTGATGGAGCAGTTTTGAAACTCTCTTTCTTTGGATTCTGCAAGTGGATATGTGGACCTCTGTGAAGATTTCGTTGGAAACGGGTTCATCTTCACAGAAAAACTAAACAGGAGCATTCTCAGAAACTGCTTTGTGATGTTTGTGTTCCACTTCAAGAATTGAACTTTCCTCTTGACAGAGCAGCTCTGAAACCCTCTTTTTCTAGAGTCTGCAAGTGGACATTTGGAGGGCTTTGAGGCCTGTGGTGGAAAAGGAAAATCTTCACATAAAAACTAGATGGAAGCATTCTCAGAAACTACTTTGTGATGATTGCATTCGACTCACAGAGTTGAACATTCCTATAGATAGAGCAGGTTGTAAACAATCTTTTTGTAGAATCTGCGATTGGAGATTTGGACTGCTTTGAGGCCTACAGTAGTAAAGGGAATAACTTCATCTAAAAACCAAACGGAAGCATTCACAGACAATTCTTAGTGATCATTGCATTGAACTAACAGAGCTGAACATTCCTTTAGATGGCGCAGTTTCCAAACACACTTTCTGTAGAATCTGCAAGTGGATATTTGGACTTCTCTGAGGATTTCGTTGGAAACGGGATAAACTTCCCAGAACTACACGGAAGCATTCTGAGAAACTTCTTTGTGATGTTTGCATTCAACTCACAGAGTTGAACCTTGCTTTCATAGTTCAGCTTTCAAACACTCTTTTTGTAGAATCTGCAAGTGGATATTTGGACCACTTTGTGGCCTTCCTTCGAAACGGGTATATCTTCACATCAAACCTAGACAGAAGCATTCTCAGAATGTTTCCTGTGATGACTGCATTCAACTCACAGAGGTGAACAATCCTGCTGATGGAGCAGTTTTGAAACTCTCTTTCTTTGGATTCTGCAAGTGGATATGTGGACCTCTGTGAAGATTTCGTTGGAAACGGGTTCATCTTCACAGAAAAACTAAACAGGAGCATTCTCAGAAACTGCTTTGTGATGTTTGTGTTCCACTTAAAGAATTGAACTTTCCTCTTGACAGAGCAGCTCTGAAACCCTCTTTTTCTAGAATCTGCAAGTGGACATTTGGAGGGCTTTGAGGCCTGTGGTGGAAAAGGAAAATCTTCACATAAAAACTTTATGGAAGCATTCTCAGAAACTTCTTTGTGATGATTGCATTCGACTCACAGAGTTGAACATTCCTATAGATAGAGCAGGTTGTAAACAATCTTTTTGTAGAATCTGCGATTGGAGATTTGGACTGCTTTGAGGCCTACTGTAGTAAAGGAAATTACTTCATCTAAAAACCAAACGGAAGCATTCACAGACAATTCTTAGTGATCATTGGATTGAACTAACAGAGCTGAACATTCCCTTAGGTGGAGCAGTTTCCAAACACACTTTCTGTAGAATCTGCAAGTGGATATTTGGACCTCTCTGAGGATTTCGTTGGAAACGGGATAAACTTCCCAGAACTACACGGAAGCATTGTGAGAAACATCTTTGTGATGTTTGCATTCAACTCACAGAGTTGAACCTTGCTTTCATAGTTCAGCTTTCAAACACTCTTTTTGTAGAATCTGCAAGTGGATATTTGGACCACTTTGTGGCCTTCCTTCGAAACGGGTATATCTTCACATCAAACCTAGACAGAAGCATTCTCAGAATGTTTCCTGTGATGACTGCATTCAACTCACAGAGGTGAACAATCCTGCTGATGGAGCAGTTTTGAAACTCTCTTTCTTTGGATTCTGCAAGTGGATATGTGGACCTCTGTGAAGATTTCGTTGGAAACGGGTTCATCTTCACAGAAAAACTAAACAGAAGCATTCTCAGAAACTGCTTTGTGATGTTTGTGTTCCACTTCAAGAATTGAACTTTCCTCTTGACAGAGCAGCTCTGAAACCCTCTTTTTCTAGAATCTGCAAGTGGACATTTGGAGGGCTTTGAGGCCTGTGGTGGAAAAGGAAAATCTTCCCATAAAAACTAGATGGAAGCATTCTCAGAAACTACTTTGTGATGATTGCATTCGACTCACAGAGTTGAACATTCCTATACATAGAGCAGGTTGTAAACAATCTTTTTGTAGAATCTGCGATTGGAGATTTGGACTGCTTTGAGGCCTACTGTAGTAAAGGAAATAACTTCATCTAAAAACCAAACGGAAGCATTCACAGACAATTCTTAGTGATCATTGGATTGAACTAACAGAGCTGAACATTCCTTTAGATGGAGCAGTTTCCAAACCCACTTTCTGTAGAATCTGCAAGTGGATATTTGGACTTCTCTGAGGATTTCGTTGGAAACGGGATAAACTTCCCAGAACTACACGGAAGCATTATGAGAAACTTCTTTGTGATGTTTGCATTCAACTCACAGAGTTGAACCTTGCTTTCATAGTTCAGCTTTCAAACACTCTTTTTGTAGAATCTGCAAGTGGATATTTGGACCACTTTGTGGCCTTCCTTCGAAACGGGTTTATCTTCACATCAAACCTAGACAGAAGCATTCTCAGAATGTTTCCTGTGATGACTGCATTCAACTCACAGAGGTGAACAATCCTGCTGATGGAGCAGTTTTGAAACTCTCTTTCTTTGGATTCTGCAAGTGGATATGTGGACCTCTGTGAAGATTTCGTTGGAAACGGGTTCATCTTCACAGAAAAACTAAACAGAAGCATTCTCAGAAACTGCTTTGTGATGTTTGTGTTCCACATCAGGAATTGAACTTTCCTCTTGAAAGAGCAGCTCTGAAACCCTCTTTTTCTAGAATCTGCAAGTGGACATTTGGAGGGCTTTGAGGCCTGTGGTGGAAAAGGAAAATCTTCACATAAAAACTAGATGGAAGCATTCTCAGAAACTACTTTGTGATGATTGCATTCGACTCACAGAGTTGAACATTCCTATAGATAGAGCAGGTTGAAAACAATCTTTTTGTAGAATCTGCGATTGGAGATTTGGACTGCTTTGAGGCCTACTGTAGTAAAGGAAATAACTTCATCTAAAAACCAAACGGAAACATTCACAGACAATTCTTAGTGATCATTGGATTGAACTAACAGAGCTGAACATTCCTTTAGATGGAGCAGTTTCCCAACACACTTTCTGTAGAATCTGCAAGTGGATATTTGGACCTCTCTGAGGATTTCGTTGGAAACGGGATAAACTTCCCAGAACTACACGGAAGCATTGTGAGAAACTTCTTTGTGATGTTTGCATTCAACTCACAGAGTTGAACCTTGTTTTCATAGTTCAGCTTTCAAACACTCTTTTTGTAGAATCTGCAAGTGGATATTTGGACCACTTTGTGGCCTTCCTTCGAAACGGGTATATCTTCACATCAAACCTAGACAGAAGCATTCTCAGAATGTTTCCTGTGATGACTGCATTCAACTCACAGAGGTGAACAATCCTGTTGATGGAGCACTTTTGAAACTCTCTTTCTTTGGATTCTGCAAGTTGATATGTGGACCTCTGTGAAGATTTCGTTGGAAACGGGTTCATCTTCACAGAAAAACTAAACAGAAGCATTCTCAGAAACTACTTTGTGATGTTTGTGTTCCACTTCAAGAATTGAACTTTCCTCTTGACAGAGCAGCTCTGAAACCCTCTTTTTCTAGAATCTGCAAGTGGACATTTGGAGGGCTTTGAGGCCTGTGGTGGAAAAGGAAAATCTTCACATAAAAACTAGATGGAAGCATTCTCAGAAACTACTTTGTGATGATTGCATTCGACTCACAGAGTTGAACATTCCTATAGATAGAGCAGGTTGTAAACAATCTTTTTGTAGAATCTGCGATTGGAGATTTGGACTGCTTTGAGGCCTACTGTAGTAAAGGAAATAACTTCATCTAAAAACCAAACGGAAGCATTCACAGACAATTCTTAGTGATCATTGCATTGAACTAACAGAGCTGAACATTCCTTTAGATGGCGCAGTTTCCAAACACACTTTCTGTAGAATCTGCAAGTGGATATTTGGACTTCTCTGAGGATTTCGTTGGAAACGGGATAAACTTCCCAGAACTACACGGAAGCATTGTGAGAAACTTCTTTGTGATGTTTGCATTCAACTCACAGAGTTGAACCTTGCTTTCATAGTTCAGCTTTCAAACACTCTTTTTGTAGAATCTGCAAGTGGATATTTGGACCACTTTGTGGCCTTCCTTCGAAACGGGTATATCTTCACATCAAACCTAGACAGAAGCATTCTCAGAATGTTTCCTGTGATGACTGCATTCAACTCACAGAGGTGAACAATCCTGTTGATGGAGCAGTTTTGAAACTCTCTTTCTTTGGATTCTGCAAGTTGATATGTGGACCTCTGTGAAGATTTCATTGGAAACGGGTTCATCTTCACAGAAAAACTAAACAGAAGCATTCTCAGAAACTGCTTTGTGATGTTTGTGTTCCACTTCAGGAATTGAACTTTCCTCTTGACAGAGCAGCTCTGAAACCCTCTTATTCTAGAATCTGCAAGTGGACATTTGGAGGGCTTTGAGGCCTGTGGTGGAAAAGGAAAATCTTCACATAAAAACTAGATGGAAGCATTCTCAGAAACTACTTTGTGATGATTGCATTCGACTCACAGAGTTGAACATTCCTATAGATAGAGCAGGTTGTAAACAATCTTTTTGTAGAATCTGCGATTGGAGATTTGGACTGCTTTGAGGCCTACTGTAGTAAAGGAAATAACTTCATCTAAAAACCAAACGGAAGCATTCACAGACAATTCTTAGTGATCATTGGATTGAACTAACAGAGCTGAACATTCCTTTAGATGGAGCAGTTTCCAAGCACACTTTCTGTAGAATCTGCAAGTGGATATTTGGACTTCTCTGAGGATTTCGTTGGAAACGGGATAAACTTCCCAGAACTACACGGAAGCATTGTGAGAAACTTCTTTGTGATGTTTGCATTCAACTCACAGAGTTGAACCTTGCTTTCATAGTTCAGCTTTCAAACACTCTTTTTGTGGAATCTGCAAGTGGATATTTGGACCACTTTGTGGCCTTCCTTCGAAACGGGTATATCTTCACATCAAACCTAGACAGAAGCATTCTCAGAATGTTTCCTGTGATGACTGCATTCAACTCACAGAGGTGAACAATCCTGCTGATGGAGCAGTTTTGAAACTCTCTTTCTTTGGATTCTGCAAGTGGATATGTGGACCTCTGTGAAGATTTCGTTGGAAACGGGTTCATCTTCACAGAAAAACTAAACAGAAGCATTCTCAGAAACTGCTTTGTGATGTTTGTGTTCCACTTCAGGAATTGAACTTTCCTCTTGACAGAGCAGCTCTGAAACCCTCTTTTTCTAGAATCTGCAAGTGGACATTTGGAGGGCATTGAGGCCTGTGGTGGAAAAGGAAAATCTTCACATAAAAACTAGATGGAAGCATTCTCAGAAACTACTTTGTGATGATTGCATTCGACTCACAGAGTTGAACATTCCTATAGATAGAGCAGGTTGTAAACAATCTTTTTGTAGAATCTGCGATTGGAGATTTGGACTGCTTTGAGGCCTACTGTAGTAAAGGAAATAACTTCATCTAAAAATCAAACGGAAGCATTCACAGACAATTCTTAGTGATCATTGGATTGAACTAACAGAGCTGAACATTCCTTTAGATGGAGCAGTTTCCAAACCCACTTTCTGTAGAATCTGCAAGTGGATATTTGGACTTCTCTGAGGATTTCGTTGGAAACGGGATAAACTTCCCAGAACTACACGGAAGCATTGTGAGAAACTTCTTTGTGATGTTTGCATTCAACTCACAGAGTTGAACCTTGCTTTCATAGTTCAGCTTTCAAACACTCTTTTTGTAGAATCTGCAAGTGGATATTTGGACCACTTTGTGGCCTTCCTTCAAAACGGGTATATCTTCACATCAAACCTAGACAGAAGCATTCTCAGAATGTTTCCTGTGATGACTGCATTCAACTCACAGAGGTGAACAATCCTGCTGATGGAGCAGTTTTGAAACTCTCTTTCTTTGGATTCTGCAAGTGGATATGTGGACCTCTGTGAAGATTTCGTTGGAAACGTGTTCATCTTCACAGAAAAACTAAACAGGAGCATTCTCAGAAACTGCTTTGTGATGTTTGTGTTCCACTTCAAGAATTGAACTTTCCTCTTGACAGAGCAGCTCTGAAACCCTCTTTTTCTAGAATCTGCAAGTGGACATTTGGAGGGCTTTGAGGCCTGTGGTGGAAAAGGAAAATCTTCCCATAAAAACTAGATGGAAGCATTCTCAGAAACTACTTTGTGATGATTGCATTCGACTCACAGAGTTGAACATTCCTATAGATAGAGCAGGTTGTAAACAATGTTTTTGTAGAATCTGCGATTGGAGATTTGGACTGCTTTGAGGCCTACTGTAGTAAAGGAAATAACTTCATCTAAAAACCAAACGGAATCATTCACAGACAATTCTTAGTGATCATTGGATTGAACTAACAGAGCTGAACATTCCTTTAGATGGAGCAGTTTCCAAACACACTTTCTGCAGAATCTGTAAGTGGATATTTGGACTTCTCTGAGGATTTCGTTGGAAACGGGATAAACTTCCCAGAACTACACGGAAGCAGTCTGAGAAACTTCTTTGTGATGTTTGCATTCAACTCACAGAGTTGAACCTTGCTTTCATACTTCAGCTTTCAAACACTCTTTTTGTAGAATCTGCAAGTGGATATTTGGACCACTTTGTGGCCTTCCTTCGAAACGGGTATATCTTCACATCAAACCTAGACAGAAGCATTCTCAGAATGTTTCCTGTGATGACTGCATTCAACTCACAGAGGTGAACAATCCTTCTGATGGAGCAGTTTTGAAACTCTCTTTCTTTGGATTCTGCAAGTGGATATGTGGACCTCTGTGAAGATTTCGTTGGAAACGTGTTCATCTTCACAGAAAAACTAAACAGGAGCATTCTCAGAAACTGCTTTGTGATGTTTGTGTTCCACTTCAGGAATTGAACTTTCCTCTTGACAGAGCAGCTCTGAAACCCTCTTATTCTAGAATCTGCAAGTGGACATTTGGAGGGCTTTGAGGCCTGTGGTGGAAAAGGAAAATCTTCACATAAAAACTAGATGGAAGCATTCTCAGAAACTACTTTGTGATGATTGCATTCGACTCACAGAGTTGAACATTCCTATAGATAGAGCAGGTTGTAAACAATCTTTTTGTAGAATCTGCGATTGGAGATTTGTTCTGCTTTGAGGCCTACTGTAGTAAAGGAAATAACTTCATCTAAAAACCAAACGGAAGCATTCACAGACAATTCTTAGTGATCATTGGATTGAACTAACAGAGCTGAACATTCCTTTAGATGGAGCAGTTTCCAAACACACTTTCTGTAGAATCTGCAAGTGGATATTTGGACTTCTCTGAGGATGTCGTTGGAAACGGGATATACTTCCCAGAACTACACGGAAGCATTCTGAGAATCTTCTTTGTGATGTTTGCATTCAACTCACAGAGTTGAACCTTGCTTTCATAGTTCAGCTTTCAAACACTCTTTTTGTAGAATCTGCAAGTGGATATTTGGACCACTTTGTGGCCTTCCTTCGAAAGGGGTATATCTTCACATCAAACCTAGACAGAAGCATTCTCAGAATGTTTCCTGTGATGACTGCATTCAACTCACAGAGGTGAACAATCCTGCTGATGGAGCAGTTTTGAAACTCTCTTTCTTTGGATTCTGCAAGTGGATATGTGGACCTCTGTGAAGATTTCGTTGGAAACGGGTTCATCTTCACAGAAAAACTAAACAGAAGCATTCTCAGAAACTGCTTTGTGATGTTTGTGTTCCACTTCAAGAATTGAACTTTCCTCTTGACAGAGCAGCTCTGAAACCCTCTTTTTCTAGAATCTGCAAGTGGACATTTGGAGGGCTTTGAGGCCTGTGGTGGAAAAGGAAAATCTTCACATAAAAACTAGATGGAAGCATTCTCAGAAACTACTTTGTGATGATTGCATTCGACTCACAGAGTTGAACATTCCTATAGATAGAGCAGGTTGAAAACAATCTTTTTGTAGAATCTGCGATTGGAGATTTGGACTGCTTTGAGGCCTACTGTAGTACAGGAAATAACTTCATCTAAAAACCAAACGGAAGCATTCACAGACAATTCTTAGTGATCATTGGATTGAACTAACAGAGCTGAACATTCCTTTAGATGGAGCAGATTCCAAACACACTTTCTGTAGAATCTGCAACTGGATATTTGGACCTCTCTGAGGATTTCGTTGGAAACGGGATAAACTTTCCAGAACTACACGAAAGCATTCTGAGAAACTTCTTTGTGATGTTTGCATTCAACTCACAGAGTTGAACCTTGCTTTCATAGTTCAGCTTTCAAACACTCTTTTTGTAGAATCTGCAAGAGTATATTTGGACCACTTTGTGGCCTTCCTTCGAAACGGGTATATCTTCACATCAAACCTAGACAGAAGCATTCTCAGAATGTTTCCTGTGATGACTGCATTCAACTCACAGAGGTGAACAATCCTGCTGATGGAGCAGTTTTGAAACTCTCTTTCTTTGGATTCTGCAAGTGGATATGTGGACCTCTGTGAAGATTTCGTTGGAAACGGGTTCATCTTCACAGAAAAACTAAACAGGAGCATTCTCCGAAACTGCTTTGTGATGTTTGTGTTCCACTTCAAGAATTGAACTTTCCTCTTGACCGAGCAGCTCTGAAACCCTCTTATTCTAGAATCTGCAAGTGGACATTTGGAGGGCTTTGAGGCCTGTGGTGGAAAAGGAAAATCTTCACATAAAAACTAGATGGAAGCATTCTCAGAAACTACTTTGTGATGATTGCATTCGACTCACAGAGTTGAACATTCCTATAGATAGAGCAGGTTGTAAACAATCTTTTTGTAGAATCTGCGATTGGAGATTTGGACTGCTTTGAGGCCTACTGTAGTAAAGGAAATAACTTCATCTAAAAACCAAACGGAAGCATTCACAGACAATTCTTAGTGATCATTGGATTGAACTAACAGAGCTGAACATTCCTTTAGATGGCGCAGTTTCCAAACACACTTTCTGTAGAATCTGCAAGTGGATATTTGGACCTCTCTGAGGATTTCGTTGGAAACGGGATAAACTTCCCAGAACTACACGGAAGCATTGTGAGAAAATTCTTTTGGATGTTTGCATTCAACTCACAGAGTTGAACCTTGCTTTCATAGTTCAGCTTTCAAACACTCTTTTTGTAGAATCTGCAAGTGGATATTTGGACCACTTTGTGGCCTTCCTTCGAAACGGGTATATCTTCACATCAAACCTAGACAGAAGCATTCTCAGAATGTTTCCTGTGATGACTGCATTCAACTCACAGAGGTGAACAATGCTGCTGATGGAACAGTTTTGAAACTCTCTTTCTTTGGATTCTGCAAGTGGATATGTGGACCTCTGTGAAGATTTCGTTGAAACGGGTTCATCTTCACAGAAAAACTAAACAGAAGCATTCTCAGAAACTGCTTTGTGATGTTTGTGTTCCACTTCAGGAATTGAACTTTCCTCTTGACAGAGCAGCTCTGAAATCCTCTTATTCTAGAATCTGCAAGTGGACATTTGGAGGGCTTTGAGGCCGGTGGTGGAAAAGGAAAATCTTCACATAAAAACTAGATGGAAGCATTCTCAGAAACTACTTTGTGATGATTGCATTCGACTCACAGAGTTGAACATTCCTATAGATAGAGCAGGTTGTAAACAATCTTTTTGTAGAATCTGCGATTGGAGATTTGGACTGCTTTGAGGCCTACTGTAGTAAAGGAAATAACTTCATCTAAAAACCAAACGGAAGCATTCACAGACAATTCTTAGTGATCATTGGATTGAACTAACAGAGCTGAACATTCCTTTAGATGGAGCATTTTCCAAACACACTTTCTGTAGAATCTGCAAGTGGATATTTGGACTACTCTGAGGATTTCGTTGGAAAAGGGATAAACTTCCCAGAACTACATGGAAGCATTCTGAGAAACTTCTTTGTGATGTTTGCATTCAACTCACAGAGTTGAACCTTGCTTTCATAGTTCAGCTTTCAAACACTCTTTTTGTAGAATCTGCAAGTGGATATTTGGACCACTTTCTGGCCTTCCTTCGAAACGGGTATATCTTCACATCAAACCTAGACAGAAGCATTCTCAGAATGTTTCCTGTGATGACTGCATTCAACTCACAGAGGTGAACAATCCTGTTGATGGAGCAGTTTTGAAACTTTCTTTGGATTCTGCAAGTGGATATGTGGACCTCTGTGAAGATTTCGTTGGAAACGGGTTCATCTTCACAGAAAAACTAAACAGAAGCATTCTCAGAAACTACTTTGTGATGTTTGTGTTCCACTTCAGGAATTGAACTTTCCTCTTGACAGAGCAGCTCTGAAACCCTCTTATTCTAGAATCTGCAAGTGGACATTTGGAGGGCTTTGAGGCCTGTGGTGGAAAAGGAAAATCTTCACATAAAAACTAGATGGAAGCATTCTCAGAAACTACTTTGTGATGATTGCATTCGACTCACAGAGTTGAACATTCCTATAGATAGAGCAGGTTGTAAACAATCTTTTTGTAGAATCTGCGATTGGAGATTTGGACTGCTTTGAGGCCTACTGTAGTAAAGGAAATAACTTCATCTAAAAACCAAACGGAAGCATTCACAGACAATTCTTAGTGATCATTGCATTGAACTAACAGAGCTGAACATTCCTTTAGATGGAGCAGTTTCCAAACCCACTTTCTGTAGAATCTGCAAGTGGATATTTGGACTTCTCTGAGGATTTCGTTGGAAACGGGATAAACTTCCCAGAACTACACGGAAGCATTGTGAGAAACTTCTTTGTGATGTTTGCATTCAACTCACAGAGTTGAACCTTGCTTTCATAGTTCAGCTTTCAAACACTCTTTTTGTAGAATCTGCAAGTGGATATTTGGACCACTTTGTGGCCTTCCTTCGAAACGGGTATATCTTCACATCAAACCTAGACAGAAGCATTCTCAGAATGTTTCCTGTGATGACTGCATTCAACTCACAAAGGTGAACAATCCTGCTGATGGAGCAGTTTTGAAACTCTCTTTCTTTGGATTCTGCAAGTGGATATGTGGACCTCTGTGAAGATTTCGTTGGAAACGGGTTCATCTTCACAGAAAAACTAAACAGAAGCATTCTCAGAAACTGCTTTGTGATGTTTGTGTTCCACTTCAAGAATTGAACTTTCCTCTTGACAGAGCAGCTCTGAAACCCTCTTTTTCTAGAATCTGCAAGTGGACATTTGGAGGGCTTTGAGGCCTGTGGTGGAAAAGGAAAATCTTCACATAAAAACTAGATGGAAGCATTCTCAGAAACTACTTTGTGATGATTGCATTCGACTCACAGAGTTGAACATTCCTATAGATAGAGCAGGTTGTAAACAATCTTTTTGTAGAATCTGCGATTGGAGATTTGGACTGCTTTGAGGCCTACTGTAGTAAAGGAAATAACTTCATCTAAAAACCAAACGGAAGCATTCACAGACAATTCTTAGTGATCATTGGATTGAACTAACAGAACTGAACATTCCTTTAGATGGAGCAGTTTCCAAACACACTTTCTGCAGAATCTGCAAGTGGATATTTGGACTTCTCTGAGGATTTCGTTGGAAACGGGATAAACTTCCCAGAACTACACGGAAGCATTGTGAGAAACTTCTTTGTGATGTTTGCATTCAACTCACAGAGTTGAACCTTGCTTTCATAGTTCAGCTTTCAAACACTCTTTTTGTAGAATCTGCAAGTGGATATTTGGACCACTTTGTGGCCTTCCTTCGAAACGGGTATATCTTCACATCAAACCTAGACAGAAGCATTCTCAGAATGTTTCCTGTGATGACTGCATTCAACTCACAGAGGTGAACAATCCTGTCTGATTGGAGCAGTTTTGAAACTCTCTTTCTTTGGATTCTGCAAGTGGATATGTGGACCTCTGTGAAGATTTCGTTGGAAACGGGTTCATCTTCACAGAAAAAATAACAGGAGCATTCTCAGAAACTGCTTTGTGATGTTTGTGTTCCACTTCAAGAATTGAACTTTCCTCTTGACAGAGCAGCTCTGAAACCCTCTTTTTCTAGAATCTGCAAGTGGACATTTGGAGGGCTTTGAGGCCTGTGGTGGAAAAGGAAAATCTTCACATAAAAACTAGATGGAAGCATTCTCAGAAACTACTTTGTGATGATTGCATTCGACTCACAGAGTTGAACATTCCTATAGATAGAGCAGGTTGTAAACAATCTTTTTGTAGAATCTGCGATTGGAGATTTGGACTGCTTTGAGGCCTACTGTAGTAAAGGAAATAACTTCATCTAAAAACCAAACGGAAGCATTCACAGACAATTCTTAGTGATCATTGCATTGAACTAACAGAGCTGAACATTCCTTTAGATGGCGCAGTTTCCAAACACACTTTCTGTAGAATCTGCAAGTGGATATTTGGACTTCTCTGAGGATTTCGTTGGAAAAGGGATAAACTTCCCAGAACTACACGGAAGCATTCTGAGAAAATTCTTTGTGATGTTTGCATTCAACTCACAGAGTTGAACCTTGCTTTCATAGTTCAGCTTTCAAACACTCTTTTTGTAGAATCTGCAATTGGATATTTGGACCACTTTGTGGCCTTCCTTCGAAACGGGTATATCTTCACATCAAACCTAGACAGAAGCATTCTCAGAATGTTTCCTGTGATGACTGCATTCAACTCACAGAGGTGAACAATCCTGCTGATGGAGCAGTTTTGAAACTCTCTTTCTTTGGATTCTGCAAGTGGATATGTGGACCTCTGTGAAGATTTCGTTGGAAACGGGTTCATCTTCACAGAAAAACTAAACAGGAGCATTCTCAGAAACTGCTTTGTGATGTTTGTGTTCCACTTCAGGAACTGAACTTTCCTCTTGAGAGAGCAGCTCTGAAACCCTCTTTTTCTAGAATGTGCAAGTGGACATTTGGAGGGCTTTGAGGCCTGTGGTGGAAAAGGAAACTCTTCACATAAAAACTAGATGGGAGCATTCTCAGAAACTACTTTGTGATGATTGCATTCGACTCACAGAGTTGAACATTCCTATAGATAGAGCAGGTTGTAAACAATGTTTTTGTAGAATCTGCGATTGGAGATTTGGACTGCTTTGAGGCCTACTGTAGTAAAGGAAATAACTTCATCTAAAAACCAAACGGAAGCATTCACAGACAATTCTTAGTGATCATTGGATTGAACTAACAGAGCTGAACATTCCTTTAGATGGAGCAGTTGCCAAACCCACTTTCTGTAGAATCTGCAAGTGGATATTTGGACATCTCTGAGGATTTCGTTGGAAACGGGATAAACTTCCCAGAACTACACGGAAGCATTCTGAGAAACTTCTTTGTGATGTTTGCATTCAACTCACAGAGTTGAACCTTGCTTTCATAGTTCAGCTTTCAAACACTCTTTTTGTAGAATCTGCAAGTGGATATTTGGACCACTTTGTGGCCTTCCTTCGAAACGGGTATATCTTCACATCAAACCTAGACAGAAGCATTCTCAGAATGTTTCCTGTGATGACTGCATTCAACTCACAGAGGTGAACAATCCTGCTGATGGAGCAGTTTTGAAACTCTCTTTCTTTGGATTCTGCAAGTGGATATGTGGACCTCTGTGAAGATTTCGTTGGAAACGGGTTCATCTTCACAGAAAAACTAAACAGAAGCATTCTCAGAAACTGCTTTGTGATGTTTGTGTTCCACTTCAGGAATTGAACTTTCCTCTTGAAAGAGCAGCTCTGAAACCCTCTTATTCTAGAATCTGCAAGTGGACATTTGGAGGGCTTTGAGGCCTGTGGTGCAAAAGGAAAATCTTCACATAAAAACTAGATGGAAGCATTCTCAGAAACTACTTTGTGATGATTGCATTCGACTCACAGAGTTGAACATTCCTATACATAGAGCAGGTTGTAAACAATCTTTTTGTAGAATCTGCGATTGGAGATTTGGACTGCTTTGAGGCCTACTGTAGTAAAGGAAATAACTTCATCTAAAAACCAAACGGAAGCATTCACAGACAATTCTTAGTGATCATTGGATTGAACTAACAGAGCTGAACATTCCTTTAGATGGAGCAGTTTCCAAACACACTTTCTGTAGAATGTGCAAGTGGATATTTGGACTTCTCTGAGGATTTCGTTGGAAACGGGATAAACTTCCCAGAACTACACGGAAGCATTCTGAGAAACTTCTTTGTGATGTTTGCATTCAACTCACAGAGTTGAACCTTGCTTTCATAGTTCAGCTTTCAAACACTCTTTTTGTAGAATCTGCAAGTGGATATTTGGACCACTTTGTGGCCTTCCTTCGAAACGGGTATATCTTCACATCAAACATAGACAGAAGCATTCTCAGAATGTTTCCTGTGATGACTGCATTCAACTCACAGAGGTGAACAATCCTGTTGATGGAGCACTTTTGAAACTCTCTTTCTTTGGATTCTGCAAGTTGATATGTGGACCTCTGTGAAGATTTCGTTGGAAACGGGTTCATCTTCACAGAAAAACTAAACAGAAGCATTCTCAGAAACTGCTTTGTGATGTTTGTGTTCCACTTCAGGAATTGAACTTTCCTCTTGACAGAGCAGCTCTGAAACCCTCTTATTCTAGAATCTGCAAGTGGACATTTGGAGGGCTTTGAGGCCTGTGGTGGAAAAGGAAAATCTTCACATAAAAACTAGATGGAAGCATTCTCAGAAACTACTTTGTGATGATTGCATTCGACTCACAGAGTTGAACATTCCTATAGATAGAGCAGGTTGTAAACAATGTTTTTGTAGAATCTGCGATTGGAGATTTGGACTGCTTTGAGGCCTACTGTAGTAAAGGAAATAACTTCATCTAAAAACCAAACGGAAGCATTCACAGACAATTCTTAGTGATCATTGGATTGAACTAACAGAGCTGAACATTCCTTTAGATGGAGCAGTTTCCAAACCCACTTTCTGTAGAATCTGCAAGTGGATATTTGGACTTCTCTGAGGATTTCGTTGGAAACGGGATAAACTTCCCAGAACTACACGGAAGCATTGTGAGAAACTTCTTTGTGATGTTTGCATTCAACTCACAGAGTTGAACCTTGCTTTCATAGTTCAGCTTTCAAACACTCTTTTTGTAGAATCTGTAAGTGGATATTTGGACCACTTTGTGGCCTTCCTTCGAAACGGGTATATCTTCACATCAAACCTAGACAGAAGCATTCTCGGAATGTTTCCTGTGATGACTGCATTCAACTCACAGAGGTGAACAATCCTGCTGATGGAGCAGTTTTGAAACTCTCTTTCTTTGGATTCTGCAAGTGGATATGTGGACCTCTGTGAAGATTTCGTTGGAAACGGGTTCATCTTCACAGAAAAACTAAACAGGAGCATTCTCAGAAACTGCTTTGTGATGTTTGTGTTCCACTTCAAGAATTGAACTTTCCTCTTGACAGAGCAGCTCTGAAACCCTCTTTTTCTAGAATCTGCAAGTGGACATTTGGAGGGCTTTGAGGCCTGTGGTGGAAAAGGAAAATCTTCACATAAAAACTAGATGGAAGCATTCTCAGAAACTACTTTGTGATGATTGCATTCGACTCACAGAGTTGAACATTCCTATAGATAGATCAGGTTGTAAACAATCTTTTTGTAGAATCTGCGATTGGAGATTTGGACTGCTTTGAGGCCTACTGTAGTAAAGGAAATAACTTCATCTAAAAACCAAACGGAAGCATTCACAGACAATTCTTAGTGATCATTGGATTGAACTAACAGAGCTGAACATTCCTTTAGATGGAGCAGTTTCCAAACACACTTTCTGTAGAATCTGCAGGTGGATATTTGGACCTCTCTGAGGATTTTGTTGGAAACGGGATAAACTTCCCAGAACTACACGGAAGCATTCTGAGAAACTTCTTTGTGATGTTTGCATTCAACTCACAGAGTTGAACCTTGCTTTCATAGTTCAGCTTTCAAACACTCTTTTTGTAGAATCTGCAAGTGGATATTTGGACCACTTTGTGGCCTTCCTTCGAAACGGGTATATCTTCACATCAAACCTAGACAGAAGCATTCTCAGAATGTTTCCTGTGATGACTGCATTCAACTCACAGAGGTGAACAATCCTGCTGATGGTGCAGTTTTGAAACTCTCTTTCTTTGGATTCTGCAAGTGGATATGTGGACCTCTGTGAAGATTTCGTTGGAAACGGGTTCATCTTCACAGAAAAACTAAACAGGAGCATTCTCAGAAACTGCTTTGTGATGTTTGTGTTCCACTTCAGGAATTGAACTTTCCTCTTGACAGAGCAGCTCTGAAACCCTCTTATTCTAGAATCTGCAAGTGGACATTTGGAGGGCTTTGAGGCCTGTGGTGGAAAAGGAAAATCTTCACATAAAAACTAGATGGAAGCATTCTCAGAAACTACTTTGTGATGATTGCATTCGACTCACAGAGTTGAACATTCCTATAGATAGAGCAGGTTGTAAACAATCTTTTTGTAGAATCTGCGATTGGAGATTTGGACTGCTTTGAGGCCTACTGTAGTAAAGGAAATAACTTCATCTAAAAACCAAACGGAAGCATTCACAGACAATTCTTAGTGATCATTGCATTGAACTAACAGAGCTGAACATTCCTTTAGATGGAGCAGTTTCCAAACCCACTTTCTGTAGAATCTGCAAGTGGATATTTGGACTTCTCTGAGGATTTCGTTGGAAACGGGATAAACTTCCCAGAACTACACGGAAGCATTGTGAGAAACTTCTTTGTGATGTTTGCATTCAACTCACAGAGTTGAACCTTGCTTTCATAGTTCAGCTTTCAAACACTCCTTTTGTAGAATCTGCAAGTGGATATTTGGACCACTTTGTGGCCTTCCTTCGAAACGGGTATATCTTCACATCAAACCTAGACAGAAGCATTCTCAGAATGTTTCCTGTGATGACTGCATTCAACTCACAGAGGTGAACAATCCTGCTGATGGAGCAGTTTTGAAACTCTCTTTCTTTGGATTCTGCAAGTGGATATGTGGACCTCTGTGAAGATTTCGTTGGAAACGGGTTCATCTTCACAGAAAAACTAAACAGAAGCATTCTCAGAAACTGCTTTGTGATGTTTGTGTTCCACTTCAAGAATTGAACTTTCCTCTTGACAGAGCAGCTCTGAAACCCTCTTTTTCTAGAATCTGCAAGTGGACATTTGGAGGGCTTTGAGGCCTGTGGTGGAAAAGGAAAATCTTCACATAAAAACTAGATGGAAGCATTCTCAGAAACTACTTTGTGATGATTGCATTCGACTCACAGAGTTGAACATTCCTATAGATAGAGCAGGTTGTAAACAATCTTTTTGTAGAATCTGCGATTGGAGATTTGGACTGCTTTGAGGCCTACTGTAGTAAAGGAAATAACTTCATCTAAAAACCAAACGGAAGCATTCACAGACAATTCTTAGTGATCATTGCATTGAACTAACAGAGCTGAACATTCCTTTAGATGGAGCAGTTTCCAAACACACTTTCTGTAGAATCTGCAAGTGGATATTTGGACTTCTCTGAGGATTTCGTTGGAAACGGGATAAACTTCCCAGAACTACACGGAAGCATTGTGAGAAACTTCTTTGTGATGTTTGCATTCAACTCACAGAGTTGAACCTTGCTTTCATAGTTCAGCTTTCAAACACTCTTTTTGTAGAATCTGCAAGTGGATATTTGGACCACTTTGTGGCCTTCCTTCGAAACGGGTATATCTTCACATCAAACCTAGACAGAAGCATTCTCAGAATGTTTCCTGTGATGACTGCATTCAACTCACAGAGGTGAACAATCCTTCTGATGGAGCAGTTTTGAAACTCTCTTTCTTTGGATTCTGCAAGTGGATATGTGGACCTCTGTGAAGATTTCGTTGGAAACGGGTTCATCTTCACAGAAAAACTAAACAGGAGCATTCTCAGAAACTGCTTTGTGATGTTTGTGTTCCACTTCAAGAATTGAACTTTCCTCTTGACAGAGCAGCTCTGAAACCCTCTTTTTCTAGAATCTGCAAGTGGACATTTGGAGGGCTTTGAGGCCTGTGGTGGAAAAGGAAAATCTTCACATAAAAACTAGATGGAAGCATTCTCAGAAACTACTTTGTGATGATTGCATTCGACTCACAGAGTTGAACATTCCTATAGATAGAGCAGGTTGTAAACAATCTTTTTGTAGAATCTGCGATTGGAGATTTGGACTGCTTTGAGGCCTACTGTAGTAAAGGAAATAACTTCATCTAAAAACCAAACGGAAGCATTCACAGACAATTCTTAGTGATCATTGGATTGAACTAACAGAGCTGAACATTCCCTTAGATAGCGCAGTTTCCAAACACACTTTCTGTAGAATCTGCAAGTGGATATTTGGACCTCTCTGAGGATTTCGTTGGAAACGGGATAAACTTCCCAGAACTACACGGAAGTATTCTGAGAAACTTCTTTGTGATGTTTGCATTCAACTCACAGAGTTGAACCTTGCTTTCATAGTTCAGCTTTCAAACACTCTTTTTGTAGAATCTGCAAGTGGATATTTGGACCACTTTGTGGCCTTCCTTCGAAACGGGTATATCTTCACATCAAACCTAGACAGAAGCATTCTCAGAATGTTTCCTGTGATGACTGCATTCAACTCACAGAGGTGAACAATCCTGCTGATGGAGCAGTTTTGAAACTCTCTTTCTTTGGATTCTGCAGGTGGATATGTGGACCTCTGTGAAGATTTCGTTGGAAACGGGTTCATCTTCACAGAAAAACTAAACGGGAGCATTCTCAGAAACTGCTTTGTGATGTTTGTGTTCCACTTCAGGAATTGAACTTTCCTCTTGACAGAGCAGCTCTGAAACCCTCTTTTTCTAGAATCTGCAAGTGGACATTTGGAGGGCTTTGAGGCCTGTGGTGGAAAAGGAAAATCTTCACATAAAAACTAGATGGAAGCATTCTCAGAAACTACTTTGTGATGATTGCATTCGACTCACAGAGTTGAACATTCCTATAGATAGAGCAGGTTGTAAACAATCTTTTTGTAGAATCTGCGATTGGAGATTTGGACTGCTTTGAGGCCTACTGTAGTAAAGGAAAGAACTTCATCTAAAAACCAAACGGAAGTATTCACAGACAATTCTTAGTGATCATTGGATTGAACTAACAGAGCTGAACATTCCTTTAGATGGCGCAGTTTCCAAACTCACTTTCTGTACAATCTGCAAGTGGATATTTGGACCTCTCTGAGGATTTCGTTGGAAACGGGATAAACTTCCCAGAACTACACGGAAGCATTCTGAGAAACTTCTTTGTGAAGTTTGCATGCAACACACAGAGTTGAACCTTGCTTTCATAGTTCAGCTTTCAAACACTCTTTTTGTAGAATCTGCAAGTGGATATTTGGACCATTTGTGGTCTTCCTTCGAAACGGGTATATCTTCACATCAAACCTAGACAGAAGCATTCTCAGAATGTTTCCTGTGATGACTGCATTCAACTCACAGAGGTGAACAATCCTGCTGATGGAGCACTTTTGAAACTCTCCTTCTTTGGATTCTGCAAGTGAATATGTGGTCCTCTGTGAAGATTTCGTTGGAAACGGGTTCATCTTCACAGAAAAACTAAACAGAAGCATTCTCAGAAACTGCTTTGTGATGTTTGTGTTCCACTTCAGGAATTGAACTTTCCTCTTGACAGAGCAGCTCTGAAACCCTCTTATTCTAGAATCTGCAAGTGGACATTTGGAGGGCTTTGAGGCCTGTGGTGGAAAAGGAAAATCTTCACATAATAACTAGATGGAAGCATTCTCAGAAACTACTTTGTGATGATATCATTCGACTCACAGAGTTGAACATTCCTATAGATAGAGCAGGTTGTAAACAATCTTTTTGTAGAATCTGCGATTGGAGATTTGGACTGCTTTGAGGCCTACTGTAGTAAAGGAAATAACTTCATCTAAAAACCAAACGGAAGCATTCACAGATAATTCTTAGTGATATTGGATTGAACTAACAGAGCTGAACATTCCTTTAGATGGAGCAGT
This sequence comes from Homo sapiens, assembly GCF_000001405.40. Taxonomy (NCBI): domain Eukaryota; kingdom Metazoa; phylum Chordata; class Mammalia; order Primates; family Hominidae; genus Homo; species Homo sapiens. Next base: position 51,980,215 of record NC_000011.10, read on the forward strand.
TTCCAAACACACTTTCTGTAGAATCTGCAAGTGGATATTTGGACTTCTCTGAGGATTTCGTTGGAAACGGGATAAACTTATCAGAACTACACGGAAGCATTCTGAGAAACTTCTTTGTGATGTTTGCATTCAACTCACAGAGTTGAACCTTGCTTTCATTGTTCAGCTTTCAAACACTCTTTTTGTAGAATCTGCAAGTGGATATTTGGACCACTTTGTGGCCTTCCTTCGAAACGGGTATATCTTCACATCAAACCTAGACAGAAGCATTCTCAGAATGTTTCCTGTGATGACTGCATTCAACTCACAGAGGTGAACAATCCTGCTGATGGAGCAGTTTTGAAACTCTCTTTCTTTGGATTCTGCAAGTGGATATGTGGACCTCTGTGAAGATTTCGTTGGAAACGGGTTCATCTTCACAGAAAAACTAAACAGAAGCATTCTCAGAAACTGCTGTGTGATGTTTGTGTTCGACTTCAGGAATTGAACTTTCCTCTTGACAGAGCAGCTCTGAAACCCTCTTTTTCTAGAATCTGCAAGTGGACATTTGGAGGGCTTTGAGGCCTGTGGTGGAAAAGGAAAATCTTCACATAAAAACTAGATGGAAGCATTCTCAGAAACTACTTTGTGATGATTGCATTCGACTCACAGAGTTGAACATTCCTATAGATAGAGCAGGTTGTAAACAATCTTTTTGTAGAATCTGCGATTGGAGATTTGGACTGCTTTGAGGCCTACTGTAGTAAAGGAAATAACTTCATCTAAAAATCAAACGGAAGCATTCACAGACAATTCTTAGTGATCATTGGATTGAACTAACAGAGCTGAACATTCCTTTAGATGGCGCAGTTTCCAAACACACTTTCTGTAGAATCTGCAAGTGGATATTTGGACCTCTCTGAGGATTTCGTTGGAAACGGTCTAAACTTCCCAGAACTACACGGAAGCATTCTGAGAAACTTCTTTGTGATGTTTGCATTCAACTCACAGAGTTGAACCTTGCTTTCATAGTTCAGCTTTCAAACACTCTTTTTGTAGAATCTGCAAGTGGATATTTGGACCACTTTGTGGCCTTCCTTCGAAACGGGTATATCTTCACATCAAACCTAGACAGAAGCATTCTCAGAATGTTTCCTGTGATGACTGCATTCAACTCACAGAGGTGAACAATCCTGCTGATGGAGCAGTTTTGAAACTCTCTTTCTTTGGATTCTGCAAGTGGATATGTGGACCTCTGTGAAGATTTCGTTGGAAACGGGTTCATCTTCACAGAAAAACTAAACAGGAGCATTCTCAGAAACTGCTTTGTGATGTTTGTGTTCCACTTCAGGAATTGAACTTTCCTCTTGACAGAGCAGCTCTAAAACCCTCTTATTCTAGAATCTGCAAGTGGACATTTGGAGGGCTTTGAGGCCTGTGGTGGAAAAGGAAAATCTTCACATAAAAACTAGATGGAAGCATTCTCAGAAACTACTTTGTGATGATTGCATTCGACTCACAGAGTTGAACATTCCTATAGATAGAGCAGGTTGTAAACAATCTTTTTGTAGAATCTGCGATTGGAGATTTGGACTGCTTTGAGGCCTACTGTAGTAAAGGAAATAACTTCATCTAAAAACCAAACGGAAGCATTCACAGACAATTCTTAGTGATCATTGGATTGAACTAACAGAGCTGAACATTCCTTTAGATGGAGCAGTTTCCAAACCCACTTTCTGTAGAATCTGCAAGTGGATATTTGGACTTCTCAGAGGATTTCGTTGGAAACGGGATAAACTTCCCAGAACTACACGGAAGCATTGTGAGAAACTTCTTTGTGATGTTTGCATTCAACTCACAGAGTTGAACCTTGCTTTCATAGTTCAGCTTTCAAACACTCTTTTTGTAGAATCTGCAAGTGGACATTTGGACCACTTTGTGGCCTTCCTTCGAAACGGGTATATCTTCACATCAAACCTAGACAGAAGCATTCTCAGAATGTTTCCTGTGATGACTGCATTCAACTCATAGAGATGAACAATCCTGTTGATGGAGCAGTTTTGAAACTCTCTTTCTTTGCATTCTGCAAGTGGATATGTGGACCTCTGTGAAGATTTCGTTGGAAACGGGTTCATCTTCACAGAAAAATTAAACAGAAGCATTCTCAGAAACTGCTTTGTGATGTTTGTGTTCCACTTCAGGAATTGAACTTTCCTCTTGACAGAGCAGCTCTGAAACCCTCTTATTCTAGAATCTGCAAGTTGACATTTGGAGGGCTTTGAGGCCTGTGGTGGAAAAGGAAAATCTTCACATAAAAACTAGATGGAAGCATTCTCAGAAACTACTTTGTGATGATTGCATTCGACTCACAGAGTTGAACATTCCTACAGATAGAGCAGGTTGTAAACAATCTTTTTGTAGAATCTGCGATTGGAGATTTGGACTGCTTTGAGGCCTACTGTAGTAAAGGAAATAACTTCATCTAAAAACCAAACGGAAGCATTCACAGACAATTCTTAGTGATCATTGCATTGAACTATCAGAGCTGAACATTGCTTTAGATGGAGCAGTTTCCAAACACACTTTCTGTAGAATCTGCAAGTGGATATTTGGACTTCTCTGAGGATTTCGTTGGAAACGGGATAAACTTCCCAGAACTACACGGAAGCATTGTGAGAAACTTCTTTGTGATGTTTGCATTCAACTCACAGAGTTGAACCTTGCTTTCATAGTTCAGCTTTCAAACACTCTTTTTGTAGAATCTGCAAGTGGACATTTGGAACACTTTGTGGCCTTCCTTCGAAACGGGTATATCTTCACATCAAACCTAGACAGAAGCATTCTCAGAATGTTTCCTGTGATGACTGCATTCAACTCACAGAGGTGAACAATCCTGTTGATGGAGCAGTTTTGAAACTCTCTTTCTTTGGATTCTGCAAGTTGATATGTGGACCTCTGTGAAGATTTCGTTCGAAACGGGTTCATCTTCACAGAAAAACTAAACAGAAGCATTCTCAGAAACTGCTTTGTGATGTTTGTGTTCCACTTCAAGAATTGAACTTTCCTCTTGACAGAGCAGCTCTGAAACCCTCTTTTTCTAGAATCTGCAAGTGGACATTTGGAGGGCTTTGAGGCCTGTGGTGGAAAAGGAAAATCTTCCCATAAAAACTAGATGGAAGCATTCTCAGAAACTCCTTTGTGATGATTGCATTCGACTCACAGAGTTGAACATTCCTATAGATAGAGCAGGTTGTAAACAATCTTTTTGTAGAATCTGCGATTGGAGATTTGGACTGCTTTGAGGCCTACTGTAGTAAAGGAAATAACTTCATCTAAAAACCAAACGGAAGCATTCACAGACAATTCTTAGTGATCATTGGATTGAACTAACAGAGCTGAACATTCCCTTTAGATGGAGCATTTTCCAAACACACTTTCTGTAGAATCTGCAAGTGGATATTTGGACTTCTCTGAGGATTTCGTTGGAAACGGGATAAACTTCCCAGAACTACACGGAAGCATTCTGAGAAACTTCTTTGTGATGTTTGCATTCAACTCACAGAGTTGAACCTTGCTTTCATAGTTCAGCTTTCAAACACTCTTTTTGTAGAATCTGCAAGTGGATATTTGGACCACTTTCTGGCCTTCCTTCGAAACGGGTATATCTTCACATCAAACCTAGACAGAAGCATTCTCAGAATGTTTCCTGTGATGACTGCATTCAACTCACAGAGGTGAACAATCCTGCTGATGGAGCAGTTTTGAAACTCTCTTTCTTTGGATTCTGCAAGTGGATATGTGGACCTCTGTGAAGATTTCGTTGGAAACGGGTTCATCTTCACAGAAAAACTAAACAGAAACATTCTCAGAAACTGCTTTGTGATGTTTGTGTTCCACTTCAGGAATTGAACTTTCCTCTTGACAGAGCAGCTCTGAAACCCTCTTATTCTAAAATCTGCAAGAGGACATTTGAAGGGCTTTGAGGCCTGTGGTGGAAAAGGAAAATCTTCATATAAAAACTAGATGGAAGCATTCTCAGAAACTACTTTGTGATGATTGCATTCGACTCACAGAGTTGAACATTCCTATAGATAGAGCAGGTTGTAAACAATCTTTTTGTAGAATCTGCGATTGGAGATTTGGACTGCTTTGAGGCCTACTGTAGTAAAGGAAATAACTTCATCTAAAAACCAAACGGAAGAATTCACAGACAATTCTTAGTGATCATTGGATGGAACAAACAGAGCTGAACATTCCTTTAGATAGAGCAGTTTACAAACACACTTTCTGTAGAATCTGCAAGTGGATATTTGGACTTCTCTGAGGATTTCGTTGGAAACAGGATAAACTTCCCAGAACTACACGGAAGCATTCTGAGAAACTTCTTTGTGATGTTTGCATTCAACTCACAGAGTTGAAACTTGCTTTCATAGTTCAGCTTTCAAACACTCTTTTTGTAGAATCTGCAAGTGGATATTTGGACCACTTTGTGGCCTTCCTTCGAAACGGGTATATCTTCACATCAAACCTAGACAGAAGCATTCTCAGAATGTTTCCTGTGATGACTGCATTCAACTCACAGAGGTGAACAATCCTGCTGATGGAGCAGTTTTGAAACTCTCTTTCTTTGGATTCTGCAAGTGGATATGTGGACCTCTGTGAAGATTTCGTTGGAAACGGGTTCATCTTCACAGAAAAACTAAACAGAAGCATTCTCAGAAACTGCTTTGTGATGTTTGTGTTCCACTTCAAGAATTGAACTTTCCTCTTGACAGAGCAGCTCTGAAACCCTCTTTTTCTAGAATCTGCAAGTGGACATTTGGAGGGCTTTGAGGCCTGTGGTGGAAAAGGAAAATCTTCACATAAAAACTAGATGGAAGCATTCTCAGAAACTACTTTGTGATGATTGCATTCGACTCACAGAGTTGAACATTCCTATAGATAGAGCAGGTTGAAAACAATCTTTTTGTAGAATCTGCGATTGGAGATTTGGACTGCTTTGAGGCCTACTGTAGTAAAGGAAATAACTTCATCTAAAAACCAAACGGAAGCATTCACAGACAATTCTTAGTGATCATTGGATTGAACTAACAGAGCTGAACATTCCTTTAGATGGAGCAGTTTCCAAAACCACTTTCTGTAGAATCTGCAAGTGGATATTTGGACTTCTCTGAGGATTTCGTTGGAAACGGGATAAACTTCCCAGAACTACACGGAAGCATTCTGAGAAACTTCTTTGTCATGTTTGCATTCAACTCAAAGAGTTGAACCTTGCTTTCATAGTTCAGCTTTCAAACACTCTTTTTGTAGAATCTGCAAGTGGATATTTGGACCACTTTGTGGCCTTCCTTCGAAACGGGTATATCTTCACATCAAACCTAGACAGAAGCATTCTCAGAATGTTTCCTGTGATGACTGCATTCAACTCACAGAGGTGAACAATCCTGTTGATGGAGCACTTTTGAAACTCTCTTTCTTTGGATTCTGCAAGTTGATATGTGGATCTCTGTGAAGATTTCGTTGGAAACGGGTTCATCTTCACAGAAAAACTAAACAGGAGCATTCTCAGAAACTGCTTTGTGATGTTTGTGTTCCACTTCAAGAATTGAGCTTTCCTCTTGACAGAGCAGCTCTGAAACCCTCTTTTTCTAGAATCTGCAAGTGGACATTTGGAGGGCTTTGAGGCCTGTGGTGGAAAAGGAAAATCTTCACATAAAAACTAGATGGAAGCATTCTCAGAAACTACTTTGTGATGATTGCATTCGACTCACAGAGTTGAACATTCCTATAGATAGAGCAGGTTGTAAACAATCTTTTTGTAGAATCTGCGATTGGAGATTTGGACTGCTTTGAGGCCTACTGTAGTAAAGGAAATAACTTCATCTAAAAACCAAACGGAAGCATTCACAGACAATTCTTAGTGATTATTGGATTGAACTAACAGAGCTGAACATTCCTTTAGATGGAGCAGTTTCCAAACCCACTTTCTGTAGAATCTGCAAGTGGATATTTGGACTTCTCTGAGGATTTCGTTGGAAACGGGATAAACTTCCCAGAACTACACGGAAGCATTGTGAGAAACTTCTTTGTGATGTTTGCATTCAACTCACAGAGTTGAACCTTGCTTTCATAGTTCAGCTTTCAAACACTCTTTTTGTAGAATCTGCAAGTGGATATTTGGACCACTTTGTGGCCTTCCTTCGAAACGGGTATATCTTCACATCAAACCTAGACAGAAGCATTCTCAGAATGTTTCCTGTGATGACTGCATTCAACTCACAGAGGTGAACAATCCTGCTGTTGGAGCAGTTTTGAAACTCTCTTTCTTTGGATTCTGCAAGTGGATATGTGGACCTCTGTGAAGATTTCGTTGGAAACGGGTTCATCTTCACAGAAAAACTAAACAGGAGCATTCTCAGAAACTGCTTTGTGATGTTTGTGTTCCACTTCAAGAATTGAACTTTCCTCTTGACCGAGCAGCTCTGAAACCCTCTTATTCTAGAATCTGCAAGTGGACATTCGGAGGGCTTTGAGGCCTGTGGTGGAAAAGGAAAATCTTCACATAAAAACTAGATGGAAGCATTCTCAGAAACTACTTTGTGATGATTGCATTCGACTCACAGAGTTGAACATTCCTATAGATAGAGCAGGTTGTAAACAATCTTTTTGTAGAATCTGCGATTGGAGATTTGGACTGCTTTGAGGCCTACTGTAGTAAAGGAAATAACTTCATCTAAAAACCAAACGGAAGCATTCACAGACAATTCTTAGTGATCATTGCATTGAACTAACAGAGCTGAACATTCCTTTACATGGAGCAGTTTCCAAACACACTTTCTGTAGAATCTGCAAGTGGATATTTGGACTTCTCTGAGGATTTCGTTGGAAACGGGATAAACTTCCCAGAACTACACGGAAGCATTGTGAGAAACTTCTTTGTGATGTTTGCATTCAACTCACAGAGTTGAACCTTGCTTTCATAGTTCAGCTTTCAAACACTCTTTTTGTAGAATCTGCAAGTGGATATTTGGGCCATTTTGTGGCCTTCCTTCGAAACGGGTATATCTTCACATCAAACCTAGACAGAAGCATTCTCAGAATGTTTCCTGTGATGACTGCATTCAACTCACAGAGGTGAACAATCCTGTTGATGGAGCAGTTTTGAAACTCTCTTTCTTTGGATTCTGCAAGTTGATATGTGGACCTATGTGAAGATTTCGTTGGAAACGGGTTCATCTTCACAGAAAAACTAAACAGAAGCATTCTCAGAAACTGCTTTGTGATGTTTGTGTTCCACTTCAAGAATTGAACTTTCCTCTTGACAGAGCAGCTCTGAAACCCTCTTTTTCTAGAATCTGCAAGTGGACATTTGGAGGGCTTTGAGGCCTGTGGTGGAAAAGGAAAATCTTCACATAAAAACTAGATGGAAGCATTCTCAGAAACTACTTTGTGATGATTGCATTCGACTCACAGAGTTGAACATTCCTATAGATAGAGCAGGTTGTAAACAATCTTTTTGTAGAATCTGCGATTGGAGATTTGGATTGCTTTGAGGCCTACTGTAGTAAACGAAATAACTTCATCTAAAAACCAAACGGAAGCATTCACAGACAATTCTTAGTGATCATTGCATTGAACTAACAGAGCTGAACATTCCTTTAGATGGAGCAGTTGCCAAACCCACTTTCTGTAGAATCTGCAAGTGGATATTTGGACTTCTCTGAGGATTTCGTTGGAAACGGGATAAACTTCCCAGAACTACACGGAAGCATTGTGAGAAACTTCTTTGTGATGTTTGCATTCAACTCACAGAGTTGAACCTTGCTTTCATAGTTCAGCTTTCAAACACTCTTTTTGTAGAATCTGCAAGTGGATATTTGGACCACTTTGTGGCCTTCCTTTGAAAAGGGTATATCTTCACATCAAACCTAGACAGAAGCATTTTCAGAATGTTTCCTATGATGACTGCATTCAACTCACAGAGGTGAACAATCCTGCTGATGGAGCAGTTTTGAAACTCTCTTTCTTTGGATTCTGCAAGTGGATATGTGGACCTCTGTGAAGATTTTGTTGGAAACGGGTTCATCTTCACAGAAAAACTAAACAGAAGCATTCTCAGAAACTGCTTTGTGATGTTTGTGTTCCACTTCAGGAATTGAACTTTCCTCTTGAAAGAGCAGCTCTGAAACCCTCTTTTTCTAGAATCTGCAAGTGGACATTTGGAGGGCTTTGAGGCCTGTGGTTGAAAAGGAAAATCTTCACATAAAAACTAGATGGAAGCATTCTCAGAAACTACTTTGTGATGATTGCATTCGACTCACAGAGTTGAACATTCCTATAGATAGAGCAGGTTGTAAACAATCTTTTTGTAGAATCTGCGATTGTAGATTTGGACTGCTTTGAGGCCTACTGTAGTAAAGGAAATAACTTCATGCTAAAAACCAAACGGAAGCATTCACAGACAATTCTTAGTGATCATTGGATTGAACTAACAGAGCTGAACATTCCTTTAGATGGAGCAGTTTCCAAACACACTTTCTGTAGAATCTGCAAGTGGATATTTGGACCTCTCTGAGGATTTCGTTGGAAACGGGCTAAACTTCCAAGAACTACACGGAAGCATTGTGAGAAACTTCTTTGTGATGTTTGCATTCAACTCACAGAGTTGAACCTTGCTTTCATAGTTCAGCTTTCAAACACTCTTTTTGTAGAATCTGCAAGTGGATATTTGGACCACTTTGTGGCCTTCCTTCGAAACGGGTATATCTTCACATCAAACCTAGACAGAAGCATTCTCAGAATGTTTCCTGTGATGACTGCATTCAACTCACAGAGGTGAACAATCCTGCTGTTGGAGCAGTTTTGAAACTCTCTTTCTTTGGATTCTGCAAGTGGATATGTGGACCTCTGTGAAGATTTCGTTGGAAACGGGTTCATCTTCACAGAAAAACTAAACAGGAGCATTCTCAGAAACTGCTTTGTGATGTTTGTGTTCCACTTCAGGAATTGAAGTTTCCTCTTGACAGAGCAGCTCTGAAACCCTCTTTTTCTAGAATCTGCAAGTGGACATTTGGAGGGCTTTGAGGCCTGTGGTGGAAAAGGAAACTCTTCACATAAAAACTAGATGGAAGCATTCTCAGAAACTACTTTGTGATGATTGCATTCGACTCAGAGTTGAACATTCCTATAGATAGAGCAGGTTGTAAACAATCTTTTTGTAGAATCTGCGATTGGAGATTTGGACTGCTTTGAGGCCTACTGTAGTAAAGGAAATAACTTCATCTAAAAACCAAACGGAAGCATTCACAGACAATTCTTAGTGATCATTGGATTGAACTAACAGAGCTGAACATTCCTTTAGATGGAGCAGTTTCCAAACACACTTTCTGTAGAATCTGCAAGTGGATATTTGGACCTCTCTGAGGATTTCGTTGGAAACGGGATAAACTTCCCAGAACTACACGGAAGCATTCTGAGAAACTTCTTTGTGATATTTGCATTCAACTCACAGAGTTGGACCTTGCTTTCATAGTTCAGCTTTCAAACACTCTTTTTGTAGAATCTGCAAGTGGATATTGGGACCACTTTGTGGCCTTCCTTCAAAACGGGTATATCTTCACATCAAACCTAGACAGAAGCATTCTCAGAATGTTTCCTGTGATGACTGCATTCAACTCACAGAGGTGAACAATCCTGCTGATGGAGCAGTTTTGAAACTCTCTTTCTTTGGATTCTGCAAGTGGATATGTGGACCTCTGTGAAGATTTCGTTGGAAACGGGTTCATCTTCACAGAAAAACTAAACAGGAGCATTCTCAGAAACTGCTTTGTGATGTTTGTGTTCCACTTCAGGAATTGAACTTTCCTCTTGACAGAGCAGCTCTGAAAACCTCTTTTTCTAGAATCTGCAAGTGGACATTTGGAGGGCTTTGAGGCCTGTGGTGGAAAAGGAAAATCTTCACATAAAAACTAGATGGAAGCATTCTCAGAAACTACTTTGTGAATATTGCATTCGACTCACAGAGTTGAACATTCCTATAGATAGAGCAGGTTGTAAACAATCTTTTTGTAGAATCTGCGATTGGAGATTTCGACTGCTTTGAGGCCTACTGTAGTAAAGGAAATAACTTCATCTAAAAACCAAACGGAAGCATTCACAGACAATTCTTAGTGATCATTGGATTGAACTAACAGAGCTGAACATTCCTTTAGATGGAGCAGTTTCCAAACACACTTTCTGTAGAATCTGCAAGTGGATATTTTGGACCTCTCTGAGGATTTCGTTGGAAACGGGCTAAACTTCCCAGAACTACACGGAAGCATTCTGAGAAACTTCTTTGTGATGTTTGCATTCAACTCACAGAGTTGAACCTTGCTTTCATAGTTCAGCTTTCAAACACTCTTTTTGTAGAATCTGCAAGTGGATATTTGGACCACTTTCTGGCCTTCCTTCGAAACGGGTATATCTTCACATCAAACCTAGACAGAAGCATTCTCAGAATGTTTCCTGTGATGACTGCATTCAACTCACAGAGGTGAACAATCCTGCTGATGGAGCAGTTTTGAAACTCTCTTTCTTTGGATTGTGCAAGTGGATATGTGGACCTCTGTGTAGATTTCGTTGGAAACGGGTTCATCTTCACAGAAAAACTAAACAGGAGCATTCTCAGAAACTGCTTTGTGATGTTTGTGTTCCACTTCAAGAATTGAACTTTCCTCTTGACAGAGCAGCTCTGAAACCCTCTTTTTCTAGAATCTGCAAGTGGACATTTGGAGGGCTTTGAGGCCTGTGGTGGAAAAGGAAAATCTTCACATAAAAACTAGATGGAAGCATTCTCAGAAACTACTTTGTGATGATTGCATTCGACTCACAGAGTTGAACATTCCTATAGATAGAGCAGGTTGTAAACAATCTTTTTGTAGAATCTGCGATTGGAGATTTGGACTGCTTTGAGGCCTACTGTAGTAAAGGAAATAACTTCATCTAAAAACCAAACGGAAGCATTCACAGACAATTCTTAGTGATCATTGGATTGAACTAACAGAGCTGAACATTCCTTTAGATGGAGCATTTTCCAAACACACTTTCTGTAGAATCTGCAAGTGGATATTTGGACTTCTCTGAGGATTTCGTTGGAAACGGGATAAACTTCCCAGAACTACACGGAAGCATTCTGAGAAACTTCTTTGTGATGTTTGCATTCAACTCACAGAGTTGAACCTTGCTTTCGTAGTTCAGCTTTCAAACACTCTTTTTGTAGAATCTGCAAGTGGATATTTGGAACACTTTGTGGCCTTCCTTCGAAAAGGGTATATCTTCACATCAAACCTAGACAGAAGCATTCTCAGAATGTTTCCTGTGATGACTGCATTCAACTCACAGAGGTGAACAATCCTGCTGATGGAGCAGTTTTGAAACTCTCTTTCTTTGGATTCTGCAAGTGGATATGTGGACCTCTGTGAAGATTTCGTTGGAAACGGGTTCATCTTCACAGAAAAACTAAACAGGAGCATTCTCAGAAACTGCTTTGTGATGTTTGTGTTCCACTTCAAGAATTGAACTTTCCTCTTGACAGAGCAGCTCTGAAACCCTCTTTTTCTAGAATCTGCAAGTGGACATTTGGAGGGCTTTGAGGCCTGTGGTGGAAAAGGAAAATCTTCACATAAAAACTAGATGGAAGCATTCTCAGAAACTACTTTGTGATGATTGCATTCGACTCACAGAGTTGAACATTCCTATAGATAGAGCAGGTTGTAAACAATCTTTTTGTAGAATCTGCGATTGGAGATTTGGACTGCTTTGAGGCCTACTGTAGTAAAGGAAATAACTTCATCTAAAAACCAAACGGAAGCATTCACAGACAATTCTTAGTGATCATTGGATTGAACTAACAGAGCTGAACATTCCTTTAGATGGAGCAGTTTCCAAACACACTTTCTGTAGAATCTGCAAGTGGATATTTGGACTTCTCTGAGGATTTCGTTGGAAACGGGATAAACTTCCCAGAACTACACGGAAGCATTGTGAGAAACTTCTTTGTGATGTTTGCATTCAACTCACAGAGTTGAACCTTGCTTTCATAGTTCAGCTTTCAAACACTCTTTTTGTAGAATCTGCAAGTGGATATTTGGACCACTTTGTGGCCTTCCTTCGAAACGGGTATATCTTCACATCAAACCTAGACAGAAGCATTCTCAGAATGTTTCCTGTGATGACTGCATTCAACTCACAGAGGTGAACAATCCTGCTGATGGAGCAGTGTTGAAACTCTCTTTCTTTGGATTCTGCAAGTGGATATGTGGACCTCTGTGAAGATTTCGTTGGAAACGGGTTCATCTTCACAGAAAAACTAAACAGGAGCATTCTCAGAAACTGCATTGTGATGTTTGTGTTCCACTTCAAGAATTGAACTTTCCTCTTGACAGAGCAGCTCTGAAACCCTCTTTTTCTAGAATCTGCAAGTGGACATTTGGAGGGCTTTGAGGCCTGTGGTGGAAAAGGAAAATCTTCACATAAGAACTTTATGGAAGCATTCTCAGAAACTACTTTGTGATGATTGCATTCGACTCACAGAGTTGAACATTCCTATAGATAGAGCAGGTTGTAAACAATCTTTTTGTAGAATCTGCGATTGGAGATTTGGACTGCTTTGAGGCCTACTGTAGTAAAGGAAATAACTTCATCTAAAAACCAAACGGAAGCATTCACAGACAATTCTTAGTGATCATTGCATTGAACTAACAGAGCTGAACATTCCTTTAGATGGAGCAGTTTCCAAACCCACTTTCTGTAGAATCTGCAAGTGGATATTTGGACTTCTCTGAGGATTTCGTTGGAAACGGGATAAACTTCCCAGAACTACACGGAAGCATTGTGAGAAACTTCTTTGTGATGTTTTCATTCAACTCACAGAGTTGAAACTTGCTTTCATAGTTCAGCTTTCAAACACTCTTTTTGTAGAATCTGCAAGTGGATATTTGGACCACTTTGTGGCCTTCCTTCGAAACGGGTATATCTTCACATCAAACCTAGACAGAAGCATTCTCAGAATGTTTCCTGTGATGACTGCATTCAACTCACAGAGGTGAACAATCCTGTTGAAGGAGCAGTTTTGAAACTCTCTTTCTTTGGATTCTGCAAGTGGATATGTGGACCTCTGTGAAGATTTCGTTGGAAACGGGTTCATTTTCACAGAAAAACTAAACAGAAGCATTCTCAGAAACTGCTTTGTGATGTTTGTGTTCCACTTCAAGAATTGAACTTTCCTCTTGACAGAGCAGCTCTGAAACCCTCTTTTTCTAGAATCTGAAAGTGGACATTTGGAGGGATTTGAGGCCTGTGGTGGAAAAGGAAAATCTTCACATAAAAACTAGATGGAAGCATTCTCACAAACTCCTTTGTGATGATTGCATTCGACTCACAGAGTTGAACATTCGTATAGATAGAGTAGGTTGTAAACATTCTTTTTGTAGAATCTGTGATTGGAGATTTCGACTGCTTTGAGGCCTACTGTAGTAAAGGAAATAACTTCATCTAAAAACCAAACGGAAGCATTCACAGACAATTCTTAGTGATCATTGGATTGAACTAACAGAGCTGAACATTCCTTTAGATGGAGCAGTTTCCAAACACACTTTCTGTAGAATCTGCAAGTGGATATTTGGACTTCTCTGAGGATTTCGTTGGAAACGGGATAAACTTCCCAGAACTACACGGAAGCATTCTGAGAAACTTCTTTGTGATGTTTTCATTCAACTCACAGAGTTGAACCTTGCTTTCATAGTTCAGCTTTCAAACACTCTTTTTGTAGAATCTGCAAGTGGATATTTGGACCACTTTGTGGCCTTCCTTCGAAACGGGTATATCTTCACATCAAACCTAGACAGAAGCATTCTCAGAATGTTTCCTGTGATGACTGCATTCAACTCACAGAGGTGAACAATCCTGCTGATGGAGCAGTTTTGAAACTCTCTTTCTTTGGATTCTGCAAGTGGATATGTAGACCTCTGTGAAGATTTCGTTGGAAACGGGTTCATCTTCACAGAAAAACTAAACAGGAGCATTCTCAGAAACTGCTTTGTGATGTTTGTGTTCCACTTCAGGAATTGAACTTTCCTCTTGACAGACCAGCTCTGAAACCCTCTTATTCTAGAATCTGCAAGTGGACATTTGGAGGGCTTTGAGGCCTGTGGTGGAAAAGGAAAATCTTCACATAAAAACTAGATGGAAGCATTCTCAGAAACTACTTTGTGATGATTGCATTCGACTCACAGAGTTGAACATTCCTATAGATAGAGCAGGTTGTAAACAATCTTTTTGTAGAATCTGCGATTGGAGATTTGGACTGCTTTGAGGCCTACTGTAGTAAAGGAAATAACTTCATCTAAAAACCAAAATGGAAGCATTCACGGACAATTCTTAGTGATCATTGGATTGAACTAACAGAGCTGAACATTCCTTTAGATGGAGCAGTTTCCAAACCCACTTTCTGTAGAATCTGCAAGTGGATATTTGGACTTCTCTGAGGATTTCGTTGGAAACGGGATAAACTTCCCAGAACTACACGGAAGCCTTCTGAGAAACTTCTTTGTGATGTTTGCATTCAACTCACAGAGTTGAACCTTGTTTTCATAGTTCAGCGTTCAAACACTCTTTTTGTAGACTCTGCAAGTGGATATTTGGACCACTTTGTGGCCTTCCTTCGAAACGGGTATATCTTCACATCAAACCTAGACAGAAGCATTCTCAGAATGTTTCCTGTGATGACTGCATTCAACTCACAGAGGTGAACAATCCTGCTGATGGAGCAGTTTTGAAACTCTCTTTCTTTGGATTCTGCAAGTGGATATGTGGACCTCTGTGAAGATTTCGTTGGAAACGGTTTCATCTTCACAGAAAAACTAAACAGAAGCATTCTCAGAAACTGCTTTGTGATGTTTGTGTTCCACTTCAAGAATTGAACTTTTCTCTTGACAGAGCAGCTCTGAAACCCTCTTTTTCTAGAATCTGCAAGTGGACATTTGGAGGGCTTTGAGGCCTGTGGTGGAAAAGGAAACTCTTCACATAAAAACTAGATTGAAGCATTCTCACAAACTACTTTGTGATGATTGCATTCGACTCACAGAGTTGAACATTCCTATAGATAGAGCAGGTTGTAAACAATCTTTTTGTAGAATCTGCGATTGGAGATTTCGACTGCTTTGAGGCCTACTGTAGTAAAGGAAATAACTTCATCTAAAAACCAAACGGGAAGCATTCACAGACAATTCTTAGTGATCATTGCATTGAACTAACAGAGCTGAACATTGCTTTAGATGGCGCAGTTTCCAAACACACTTTCTGTAGAATCTGCAAGTGGATATTTGGACCTCTCTGAGGATTTCGTTGGAAACGGGATAAACTTCCCAGAACTACACGGAAGCATGCTGAGAAACTTCTTTGTGATGTTTGCATTCAACTCACAGAGTTGAACCTTGCTTTCATAGTTCAGCTTTCAAACACTCTTTTTGTAGAATCTGCAAGTGGATATTTGGACCACTTTGTGGCCTTCCTTCGAAACGGGTATATCTTCACATCAAACCTAGACAGAAGCATTCTCAGAATGTTTCCTGTGATGACTGCATTCAACTCACAGAGGTGAACAATCCTGTTGATGGAGCACTTTTGAAACTCTCTTTCTTTGGATTCTGCAAGTTGATATGTGGACCTCTGTGAAGATTTCGTTGGAAACGGGTTCATCTTCACAGAAAAACTAAACAGAAGCATTCTCAGAAACTGCTTTGTGATGTTTGTGTTCCACTTCAAGAATTGAACTTTCCTCTTGACAGAGCAGGTCTGAAACCCTCTTTTTCTAGAATCTGCAAGTGGACATTTGGAGGGCTTTGAGGCCTGTGGTGGAAAAGGAAAATCTTCACATAAAAACTAGATGGAAGCATTCTCAGAAACTACTTTGTGATGATTGCATTCGACTCACAGAGTTGAACATTCCTATAGATAGAGCAGGTTGTAAACAATCTTTTTGCAGAATCTGCGATTGGAGATTTGGACTGCTTTGAGGCCTACTGTAGTAAAGGAAATAACTTCATCTAAAAACCAAACGGAAGCATTCACAGACAATTCTTAGTGATCATTGGATTGAACTAACAGAGCTGAACATTCCCTTAGATGGCGCAGTTTCCAAACACACTTTCTGTAGAATCTGCAAGTGGATATTTGGACCTCTCTGAGGATTTCGTTGGAAACGGGATAAACTTCCCAGAACTACACGGAAGCATTCTGAGAAACTTCTTTGTGATGTTTGCATTCAACTCACAGAGTTGAACCTTGCTTTCATAGTTCAGCTTTCAAACACTCTTTTTGTAGAATCTGCAAGTGGATATTTGGACCACTTTGTGGCCTTCCTTCGAAACGGGTATATCTTCACATCAAACCTAGACAGAAGCATTCTCAGAATGTTTCCTGTGATGACTGCATTCAACTCACAGAGGTGAACAATCCTGCTGATGGAGCAGTTTTGAAACTCTCTTTCTTTGGATTCTGCAAGTGGATATGTGGACCTCTGTGAAGATTTCGTTGGAAACGGGTTCATCTTCACAGAAAAAACTAAACAGAAGCATTCTCAGAAACTGCTTTGTGATGTTTTTGTTCCACTTCAGGAATTGAACTTTCCTCTTGACAGAGCAGCTCTGAAAACCTCTTATTCTAGAATCTGCAAGTGGACATTTGGAGGGCTTTGAGGCCTGTGGTGGAAAAGGAAAATCTTCACATAAAAACTAGATGGAAGCATTCTCAGAAACTACTTTGTGATGATTGCATTCGACTCACAGAGTTGAACATTCCTATAGATAGAGCAGGTTGTAAACAATCTTTCTGTAGAATCTGCGATTGGAGATTTGGACTGCTTTGAGGCCTACTGTAGTAAAGGAAATAACTTCATCTAAAAACCAAACGGAAGCATTCACAGACAATTCTTAGTGATCATTGGATTGAACTAACAGAGCTGAACATTCCTTTAGATGGAGCAGTTTCCAAACACAATTTCTGTAGAATCTGCAAGTGGATATTTGGACTTCTCTGAGGATTTCGTTGGAAACGGGATAAACTTCCCAGAACTACACGGAAGCATTCTGAGAAACTTCTTTGTGATGTTTGCATTCAACTCACAGAGTTGAACCTTGCTTTCATAGTTCAGCTTTCAAACACTCTTTTTGTAGAATCTGCAAGTGGATATTTGGACCACTTTGTGGCCTTCCTTCGAAACGGGTATATCTTCACATCAAACCTAGACAGAAGCATTCTCAGAATGTTTCCTGTGATGACTGCATTCAACTCACAGAGGTGAACAATCCTGCTGATGGAGCAGTTTTGAAACTCTCTTTCTTTGGATTCTGCAAGTGGATATGTGGACCTCTGTGAAGATTTCGTTGGAAACGGGTTCATCTTCACAGAAAAACTAAACAGGAGCATTCTCAGAAACTGCTTTGTGATGTTTGTGTTCCACTTCAAGAATTGAACTTTCCTCTTGACAGAGCAGCTCTGAAACCCTCTTTTTCTAGAATCTGCAAGTGGACATTTGGAGGGCTTTGAGGCCTGTGGTGGAAAAGGAAAATCTTCACATAAAAACTAGATGGAAGCATTCTCAGAAACTACTTTGTGATGATTGCATTCGACTCACAGAGTTGAACATTCCTATAGATAGAGCAGGTTGTAAACAATCTTTTTGTAGAATCTGCGATTGGAGATTTGGACTGCTTTGAGGCCTACTGTAGTAAAGGAAATAACTTCATCTAAAAACCAAACGGAAGCATTCACAGACAATTCTTAGTGATCATTGCATTGAACTAACAGAGCTGAACATTCCTTTAGATGGCGCAGTTTCCAAACACACTTTCTGTAGAATCTGCAAGTGGATATTTGGACCTCCTCTGAGGATTTCGTTGGAAACGGGATAAACTTCCCAGAACTACACGGAAGCATTCTGAGGAAACTTCTTTGTGATGTTTGCATTCAACTCACAGAGTTGAACCTTGCTTTCATAGTTCAGCTTTCAAACACTCTTTTTGTAGAATCTACAGAAAGTGGATATTTGGACCACTTTGTGGCCTTCCTTCGAAACGGGTATATCTTCACATCAAACCTAGACAGAAGCATTCTCAGAATGTTTCCTGTGATGACTGCATTCAACTCACAGAGGTGAACAATCCTGCTGATGGAGCAGTTTTGAAACTCTCTTTCTTTGGATTCTGCAAGTGGATATGTGGACCTCTGTGAAGATTTCGTTGGAAACGGGTTCATCTTCACAGAAAAACTAAACAGAAGCATTCTCAGAAACTGCTTTGTGATGTTTGTGTTCCACTTCAAGAATTGAACTTTCCTCTTGACCGAGCAGCTCTGAAACCCTCTTATTCTAGAATCTGCAAGTGGACATTTGGAGGGCCTTTGAGGCCTGTGGTGGAAAAGGAAAATCTTCACATAAAAACTAGATGGAAGCATTCTCAGAAACTACTTTGTGATGATTGCATTCGACTCACAGAGTTGAACATTCCTATAGATAGAGCAGGTTGTAAACAATCTTTTTGTAGAATCTGCGATTGGAGATTTGGACTGCTTTGAGGCCTACTGTAGTAAAGGAAATAACTTCATCTAAAAACCAAACGGAAGCATTCACAGACAATTCTTAGTGATCATTGCATTGAACTAACAGAGCTGAATATTCCTTTAGATGGAGCAGTTTCCAAACACACTTTCTGTAGAATCTGCAAGTGGATATTTGGACCTCTCTGAGGATTTCGTTGGAAACGGGATAAACTTCCCAGAACTACACGGAACCATTCTGAGAAACTTCTTTGTGATGTTTGCATTCAACTCACAGAGTTGAACCTTGCTTTCATAGTTCAGCTTTCAAACACTCTTTTTGTAGAGTCTGCAAGTGGATATTTGGACCACTTTGTGGCCTTCCTTCGAAACGGGTATATCTTCACATCAAACCTAGACAGAAGCATTCTCAGAATGTTTCCTGTGATGACTGCATTCAACTCACAGAGGTGAACAATCCTGCTGTTGGAGCAGTTTTGAAACTCTCTTTCTTTGGATTCTGCAAGTGGATATGTGGACCTCTGTGAAGATTTCGTTGGAAACGGGTTCATCTTCACAGAAAAACTAAACAGAAGCATTCTCAGAAACTGCTTTGTGATGTTTGTGTTCCACTTCAAGAATTGAACTTTCCTCTTGACAGAGCAGCTCTGAAACCCTCTTTTTCTAGAATCTGCAAGTGGACATTTGGAGGGCTTTGAGGCCTGTGGTGGAAAAGGAAAATCTTCACATAAAAACTAGATGGAAGCATTCTCAGAAACTACTTTGTGATGATTGCATTCGACTCACAGAGTTGAACATTCCTATAGATAGAGCAGGTTGTAAACAATCTTTTTGTAGAATCTGCGATTGGAGATTTGGACTGCTTTGAGGCCTACTGTAATAAAGGAAATAACTTCATCTAAAAACCAAACGGAAGCATTCACAGACAATTCTTAGTGATCATTGGATTGAACTAACAGAGCTGAACATTCCTTTAGATGGCGCAGTTTCCAAACACATTTTCTGTAGAATCTGCAACTGGATATTTGGACCTCTCTGAGGATTTCATTGAAAACGGGCTGAACTTCCCAGAACTACACGGAAGCATTCTGAGAAACTTCTTTGTGATGTTTGCATTCAACTCACAGAGTTGAACCTTGCTTTCATAGTTCAGCTTTCAAACACTCTTTTTGTAGAATCTGCAAGTGGATATTTGGACCACTTTGTGGCCTTCCTTCGAAACGGGTATATCTTCACATCAAACCTAGACAGGAAGCATTCTCAGAATGTTTCCTGTGATGACTGCATTCAACTCACAGAGGTGAACAATCCTGCTGATGGAGCAGTTTTGAAACTCTCTTTCTTTGGATTCTGCAAGTGGATATGTGGACCTCTGTGAAGATTTCGTTGGAAACGGGTTCATCTTCACAGAAAAACTAAACAGGAGCATTCTCAGAAACTGCTTTGTGATGTTTGTGTTCCACTTCAAGAATTGAACTTTCCTCTTGACAGAGCAGCTCTGAAACCCTCTTTTTCTAGAATCAGCAAGTGTACATTTGGAGGACTTTGAGGCCTGTGGTGGAAAAGGAAAATCTTCACATAAAAACTAGATGGAAGCATTCTCAGAAACTACTTTGTGATGATTGCATTCGACTCACAGAGTTGAACATTCCTATACATAGAGCAGGTTGTAAACAATCTTTTTGTAGAATCTGCGATTGGAGATTTGGACTGCTTTGAGGCCTACTGTAGTAAAGGAAATAACTTCATCTAAAAACCAAACGGAAGCATTCACAGACAATTCTTAGTGATCATTGGATTGAACTAACAGAGCTGAACATTCCCTTAGATGGCGCAGTTTCCAAACACACTTTCTGTAGAATCTGCAAGTGGATATTTGGACCTCTCTGAGGATTTCGTTGGAAACGGGATAAACTTCCCAGAACTACACGGAAGCATTCTGAGAAACTTCTTTGTGATGTTTGCATTCAACTCACAGAGTTGAACCTTGCTTTCATAGTTCAGCTTTCAAACACTCTTTTTGTAGAATCTGCAAGTGGATATTTGGACCACTTTGTGGCCTTCCTTCGAAACGGGTATATCTTCACATCAAACCTAGACAGAAGCATTCTCAGAATGTTTCCTGTGATGACTGCATTCAACTCACAGAGGTGAACAATCCTTCTGATGGAGCAGTTTTGAAACTCTCTTCCTTTGGATTCTGCAAGTGGATATGTGGACCTCTGTGAAAATTTCGTTGGAAACGGGTTCATCTTCACAGAAAAACTAAACAGAAGCATTCTCGGAAACTGCTTTGTGATGTTTGTGTTCCACTTCAGGAATTGAACTTTCCTCTTGACAGAGCAGCTCTGAAACCCTCTTATTCTAGAATCTGCAAGTGGACATTTGGAGGGCTTTGAGGCCTGTGGTGGAAAAGGAAAATCTTCACATAAAAACTAGATGGAAGCATTCTCAGAAACTACTTTGTGATGATTGCATTCGACTCACAGAGTTGAACATTCCTATAGATAGAGCAGGTTGTAAACAATCTTTTTGTAGAATCTGCGATTGGAGATTTGGACTGCTTTGAGGCCTACTGTAGTAAAGGAAATAACTTCATCTAAAAACCAAACGGAAGCATTCACAGACAATCCTTAGTGATCATTGCATTGAACTAACAGAGCTGAACATTCCTTTAGATGGCGCAGTTTCCAAACACACTTTCTGTAGAATCTGCAAGTGGATATTTGGACCTCTCTGAGGATTTCGTTGGAAACGGGATAAACTTCCCAGAACTACACGGAAGCATTCTGAGAAACTTCTTTGTGATGTTTGCATTCAACTCACAGAGTTGAACCTTGCTTTCATAGTTCAGCTTTCAAACACTCTTTTTGTAGAATCTGCAAGTGGATATTTGGACCACTTTGTGGCCTTCCTTCGAAACGGGTATATCTTCACATCAAACCTAGACAGAAGCATTCTCAGAATGTTTCCTGTGATGACTGCATTCAACTCACAGAGGTGAACAATCCTGCTGATGGAGCAGTTTTGAAACTCTCTTTCTTTGGATTCTGCAAGTGGATATGTGGACCTCTGTGAAGATTTCGTTGGAAACGGGTTCATCTTCACAGAAAAACTAAACAGAAGCATTCTCAGAAACTGCTTTGTGATGTTTGTGTTCCACTTCAAGAATTGAACTTTCCTCTTGACAGAGCAGCTCTGAAACCCTCTTTTTCTAGAATCTGCAAGTGGACATTTGGAGGGCTTTGAGGCCTGTGGTGGAAAAGGAAAATCTTCACATAAAAACTAGATGGAAGCATTCTCAGAAACTACTTTGTGATGATTGCATTCGACTCACAGAGTTGAACATTCCTATAGATAGAGCAGGTTGTAAACAATCTTTTTGTAGAATCTGCGATTGGAGATTTGGACTGCTTTGAGGCCTACTGTAGTAAAGGAAATAACTTCATCTAAAAACCAAACGGAAGCATTCACAGACAATTCTTAGTGATCATTGGATTGAACTAACAGAGCTGAACATTCCTTTAGATGGAGCAGTTTCCAAACACACTTTCTGTAGAATCTGCAAGTGGATATTTGGACCTCTCTGAGGATTTCGTTGGAAACGGGATAAACTTCCCAGAACTACACGGAAGCATTGTGAGAAACTTCTTTGTGATGTTTGCATTCAACTCACAGAGTTGAACCTTGCTTTCATAGTTCAGCTTTCAAACACTCTTTTTGTAGAATCTGCAAGTGGATATTTGGACCACTTTGTGGCCTTCCTTCGAAACGGGTATATCTTCACATCAAACCTAGACAGAAGCATTCTCAGAATGTTTCCTGTGATGACTGCATTCAACTCACAGAGGTGAACAATCCTGCTGATGGAGCAGTTTTGAAACTCTCTTTCTTTGGATTCTGCAAGTGGATATGTGGACCTCTGTGAAGATTTCGTTGGAAACGGGTTCATCTTCACAGAAAAACTAAACAGGAGCATTCTCAGAAACTGCTTTGTGATGTTTGTGTTCCACTTCAAGAATTGAACTTTCCTCTTGACAGAGCAGCTCTGAAACCCTCTTTTTCTAGAGTCTGCAAGTGGACATTTGGAGGGCTTTGAGGCCTGTGGTGGAAAAGGAAAATCTTCACATAAAAACTAGATGGAAGCATTCTCAGAAACTACTTTGTGATGATTGCATTCGACTCACAGAGTTGAACATTCCTATAGAGAGAGCAGGTTGTAAACAATCTCTTTGTAGAATCTGCGATTAGAGATTTGGACTCCTTTGAGGCCTACTGTAGTAAAGGAAATAACTTCATCTAAAAACCAAACGGAAGCATTCACAGACAATTCTTAGTGATCATTGGATTGAACTAACAGAGCTGAACATTCCTTTAGATGGCGCAGTTTCCAAACACACTTTCTGTAGAATCTGCAAGTGGATATTTGGACTTCTCTGAGGATTTCGTTGGAAACGGGATAAACTTCCCAGAACTACACGGAAGCATTCTGAGAAACTTCTTTGTGATGTTTGCATTCAACTCACAGAGTTGAACCTTGCTTTCATAGTTCAGCTTTCAAACACTCTTTTTGTAGAATCTGCAAGTGGATATTTGGACCACTTTGTGGCCTTCCTTCGAAACGGGTATATCTTCACATCAAACCTAGACAGAAGCATTCTCAGAATGTTTCCTGTGATGACTGCATTCAACTCACAGAGGTGAACAATCCTGCTGATGGAGCAGTTTTGAAACTCTCCTTCTTTGGATTCTGCAAGTGGATATGTGGACCTCTGTGAAGATTTCGTTGGAAACGGGTTCATCTTCACAGAAAAACTAAACAGAAGCATTCTCAGAAACTGCTTTGTGATGTTTGTGTTCCACTTCAGGAATTGAACTTTCCTCTTGACAGAGCAGCTCTAAAACCCTCTTATTCTAGAATCTGCAAGTGGACATTTGGAGGGCTTTGAGGCCTGTGGTGGAAAAGGAAAATCTTCACATAAAAACTAGATGGAAGCATTCTCAGAAACTACTTTGTGATGATTGCATTCGACTCACAGAGTTGAACATTCCTATACATAGAGCAGGTTGTAAACAATCTTTTTGTAGAATCTGCGATTGGAGATTTGGACTGCTTTGAGGCCTACTGTAGTAAAGGAAATAACTTCATCTAAAAACCAAACGGAAGCATTCACAGACAATTCTTAGTGATCATTGCATTGAACTAACAGAGCTGAACATTCCTTTAGATGGCGCAGTTTCCAAACACACTTTCTGTAGAATCTGCAAGTGGATATTTGGACCTCTCTGAGGATTTCGTTGGAAACGGGATAAACTTCCCAGAACTACACGGAAGCATTGTGAGAAACTTCTTTGTGATGTTTGCATTCAACTCACAGAGTTGAACCTTGCTTTCATAGTTCAGCTTTCAAACACTCTTTTTATAGAATCTGCAAGTGGATATTTGGACCACTTTGTGGCCTTCCTTCGAAACGGGTATATCTTCACATCAAACCTAGACAGAAGCATTCTCAGAATGTTTCCTGTGATGACTGCATTCAACTCACAGAGGTGAACAATCCTGCTGATGGAGCAGTTTTGAAACTCTCTTTCTTTGGATTCTGCAAGTGGATATGTGGACCTCTGTGAAGATTTCGTTGGAAACGGGTTCATCTTCACAGAAAAACTAAACAGGAGCATTCCCAGAAACTGCTTTGTGATGTTTCTGTTCCACTTCAAGAATTGAACTTTCCTCTTGACAGAGCAGCTCTGAAACCCTCTTTTTCTAGAATCTGCAAGTGGACATTTGGAGGGCTTTGAGGCCTGTGGTGGAAAAGGAAAATCTTCACATAAAAACTAGATGGAAGCATTCTCAGAAACTACTTTGTGATGATTGCATTCGACTCACAGAGTTGAACATTCCTATACATAGAGCAGGTTGTAAACAATCTTTTTGTAGAATCTGCGATTGGAGATTTGGACTGCTTTGAGGCCTACTGTAGTAAAGGAAATAACTTCATCTAAAAACCAAACGGAAGCATTCACAGACAATTCTTAGTGATCATTGGATTGAACTAACAGAGCTGAACATTCCTTTAGATGGAGCAGTTTCCAAACCCACTTTCTGTAGAATCTGCAAGTGGATATTTGGACTTCTCTGAGGATTTCGTTGGAAACGGGATAAACTTCCCAGAACTACACGGAAGCATTGTGAGAAACTTCTTTGTGATGTTTGCATTCAACTCACAGAGTTGAACCTTGCTTTCATAGTTCAGCTTTCAAACACTCTTTTTGTAGAATCTGCAAGTGGATATTTGGACCACTTTGTGGCCTTCCTTCGAAACGGGTATATCTTCACATCAAACCTAGACAGAAGCATTCTCAGAATGTTTCCTGTGATGACTGCATTCAACTCACAGAGGTGAACAATCCTGTTGATGGAGCACTTTTGAAACTCTCTTTCTTTGGATTCTGCAAGTGGATATGTGGATCTCTGTGAAGATTTCGTTGGAAACGGGTCCATCTTCACAGAAAAACTAAACAGGAGCATTCTCAGAAACTACTTTGTGATGTTTGTGTTCCACTTCAAGAATTGAACTTTCCTCTTGACAGACCAGCTCTGAAACCCTCTTTTTCTAGAATCTGCAAGTGGACATTTGGAGGGCTTTGAGGCATGTGGCGGAAAAGGAAAATCTTCACATAAAAACTAGATGGAAGCATTCTCAGAAACTACTTTGTGATGATTGCATTCGACTCACAGAGTTGAACATTCGTATAGATAGAGCAGGTTGTAAACAATCTTTTTGTAGAATCTCCGATTGGAGATTTGGACTGCTTTGAGGCCTACTGTAGTAAAGGAAATAACTTCATCTAAAAACCAAACGGAAGCATTCACAGACAATTCTTAGTGATCATTGCATTGAACTAACACAGCTGAACATTCGTTTAGATGGCGCAGTTTCCAAACAGACTTTCTGTAGAATCTGCAGGTGGATATTTGGACCTCTCTGAGGATTTCGTTGGAAACGGGATAAACTTCCCAGAACTACACGGAAGCATTGTGAGAAACTTCTTTGTGATGTTTGCATTCAACTCACAGAGTTGAACCGTGCTTTCATAGTTCAGCTTTCAAACACTCTTTTTGTAGAATCTGCAAGTGGATATTTTGACCACTTTGTGGCCTTCTTTCGAAACGGGTATATCTTCACATCAAACCTAGACAGAAGAATTCTCAGAATGTTTCCTGTGATGACTGCATTCAACTCACAGAGGTGAACAATCCTGCTGATGGAGCAGTTTTGAAACTCTCTTTCTTTGGATTCTGCAGGTGGATATGTGGACCTCTGTGAAGATTTCGTTGGAAATGGGTTCATCTTCACAGAAAAACTAAACAGGAGCATTCTCAGAAACTGCTTTGTGATGTTTGTGTTCCACTTCAGGAATTGAACTTTCCTCTTGACAGAGTAGCTCTGAAACCCTCTTTTTCTAGAATCTGCAAGTGGACATTTGGAGGGCTTTGAGGCCTGTGGTGGAAAAGGAAAATCTTCACATAAAAACTAGATGGAAGCATTCTCAGAAACTACTTTGTGATGATTGCATTCGACTCACAGAGTTGAACATTCCTATAGATAGAGCAGGTTGTAAACAATCTTTTTGTAGAATCTGCGATTGGAGATTTGGACTGCTTTGAGGCCTACTGTAGTAAAGGAAATAACTTCATCTAAAAACCAAACGGAAGCATTCACAGACAATTCTTAGTGATCATTGGATTGAACTAACAGAGCTGAACATTCCTTTAGATGGAGCAGTTTCCAAACACACTTTCTGTAGAATCTGCAAGTGGATATTTGGACTTCTCTGAGGATTTCGTTGGAAACGGGATAAACTTCCCAGAACTACACGGAAGCATTGTGAGAAACTTCTTTGTGATGTTTGCATTCAACTCACAGAGTTGAACCTTGCTTTCATAGTTCAGCTTTCAAACACTCTTTTTGTAGAATCTGCAAGTGGATATTTGGACCACTTTGTGGCCTTCCTTCGAAACGGGTATATCTTCACATCAAACCTAGACAGAAGCATTCTCAGAATGTTTCCTGTGATGACTGCATTCAACTCACAGAGGTGAACAATCCTGCTGATGGAGCAGTTTTGAAACTCTCTTTCTTTGGATTGTGCAAGTGGATATGTGGATCTCTGTGTAGATTTCGTTGGAAACGGGTTCATCTTCACAGAAAAACTAAACAGGAGCATTCTCAGAAACTGCTTTGTGATGTTTGTGTTCCACTTCAAGAATTGAACTTTCCTCTTGACAGAGCAGCTCTGAAACCCTCTTTTTCTAGAAACTGCAAGTGGACATTTGGAGGGCTTAGAGGCCTGTGGTGGAAAAGGAAAATCTTCACATAAAAACTAGATGGAAGCATTCTCAGAAACTACTTTGTGATGATTGCATTCGACTCACAGAGTTGAACATTCCTATAGATAGATCAGGTTGTAAACAATCTTTTTGTAGAATCTGCGATTGGAGATTTGGACTGCTTTGAGGCCTACTGTAGTAAAGGAAATAACTTCATCTAAAAACCAAACGGAAGCATTCACAGACAATTCTTAGTGATCATTGCATTGAACTAACAGAGCTGAACATTCCTTTAGATGGAGCAGTTTCCAAACACACTTTCTGTAGAATCTGCAAGTGGATATTTGGACTTCTCTGAGGATTTCGTTGGAAACGGGATAAACTTCCCAGAACTACACGGAAGCATGCTGAGAAACTTCTTTGTGATGTTTGCATTCAACTCACAGAGTTGAACCTTGCTTTCATAGTTCAGCTTTCAAACACTCTTTTTGTAGAATCTGCAAGTGGATATTTGGACCACTTTGTGGCCTTCCTTCGAAACGGGTATATCTTCACATCAAACCTAGACAGAAGCATTCTCAGAATGTTTCCTGTGATGACTGCATTCAACTCACAGAGGTGAACAATCCTGTTGATGGAGCACTTTTGAAACTCTCTTTCTTTGGATTCTGCAAGTTGATATGTGGACCTCTGTGAAGATTTCGTTGGAAACGGGTTCATCTTCACAGAAAAACTAAACAGAAGCATTCTCAGAAACTACTTTGTGATGTTTGTGTTCCACTTCAAGAATTGAACTTTCCTCTTGACAGAGCAGCTCTGAAACCCTCTTTTTCTAGAATCTGCAAGTGGACATTTAGAGGGCTTTGAGGCCTGTGGTGGAAAAGGAAAATCTTCCCATAAAAACTAGATGGAAGCATTCTCAGAAACTACTTTGTGATGATTGCATTCGACTCACAGAGTTGAACATTCCTATAGATAGAGCAGGTTGTAAACAATCTTTTTGTAGAATCTGCGATTGGAGATTTGGACTGCTTTGAGGCCTACTGTAGTAAAGGAAATAACTTCATCTAAAAACCAAACGGAAGCATTCACAGACAATTCTTAGTGATCATTGGATTGAACTAACAGAGCTGAACATTCCTTTAGATGGAGCATTTTCCAAACGCACTTTCTGTAGAATCTGCAAGTGGATATTTGGACTT
Organism: Homo sapiens; assembly: GCF_000001405.40. NCBI lineage: Eukaryota > Metazoa > Chordata > Mammalia > Primates > Hominidae > Homo > Homo sapiens. Next base: position 52,008,322 of record NC_000011.10, read on the forward strand.
CTCTGAGGATTTCGTTGGAAACGGGATAAACTTCCCAGAACTACACGGAAGCATTCTGAGAAACTTCTTTGTGATGTTTGCATTCAACTCACAGAGTTGAACCTTGCTTTCATAGTTCAGCTTTCAAACACTCTTTTTGTAGAATCTGCAAGTGGATATTTGGACCACTTTGTGGCCTTCCTTCGAAACGGGTATATCTTCACATCAAACCTAGACAGAAGCATTCTCAGAATGTTTCCTGTGATGACTGCATTCAACTCACAGAGGTGAACAATCCTGTTGATGGAGCAGTTTTGAAACTCTCTTTCTTTGGATTCTGCAAGTTGATATGTGGACCTCTGTGAAGATTTCGTTGGAAACGGGTTCATCTTCACAGAAAAACTAAACAGAAGCATTCTCAGAAACTGCTTTGTGATGTTTGTGTTCGACTTCAGGAATTGAACTTTCCTCTTGACAGAGCAGCTCTGAAACCCTCTTATTCTAGAATCTGCAAGTGGACATTTGGAGGGCTTTGAGGCCTGTGGTGGAAAAGGAAAATCTTCACATAAAAACTAGATGGAAGCATTCTCAGAAACTACTTTGTGATGATTGCATTCGACTCACAGAGTTGAACATTCCTATAGATAGAGCAGGTTGTAAACAATCTTTTTGTAGAATCTGCGATTGGAGATTTGGACTGCTTTGAGGCCTACTGTAGTAAAGGAAATAACTTCATCTAAAAACCAAACGGAAGCATTCACAGACAATTCTTAGTGATCATTGGATTGAACTAACAGAGCTGAACATTCCTTTAGATGGAGCAGTTTCCAAACCCACTTTCTGAAGAATCTGCAAGTGGATATTTGGACTTCTCTGAGGATTTCGTTGGAAACGGGATAAACTTCCCAGAACTACACGGAAGCATTGTGAGAAACTTCTTTGTGATGTTTGCATTCAACTCACAGAGTTGAACCTTGCTTTCATAGTTCAGCTTTCAAACCCTCTTTTTGTAGAATCTGCAAGTGGATATTTGGACCACTTTGTGGCCTTCCCTCGAAACGGGTATATCTTCACATCAAACCTAGACAGAAGCATTCTCAGAATGTTTCCTGTGATGACTGCATTCAACTCACAGAGGTGAACAATCCTGCTGATGGAGCAGTTTTGAAACTCTCTTTCTTTGGATTCTGCAAGTGGATATGTGGACCTCTGTGAAGATTTCGTTGGAAACGGGTTCATCTTCACAGAAAAACTAAACAGGAGCATTCTCAGAAACTGCTTTGTGATGTTTGTGTTCCACTTCAAGAATTGAACTTTCCTCTTGACAGAGCAGCTCTGAAACCCTCTTTTTCTAGAATCTGCAAGTGGACATTTGGAGGGCTTTGAGGCCTGTGGTGGAAAAGGAAAATTTTCACATAAAAACTTTATGGAAGCATTCTCAGAAACTACTTTGTGATGATTGCATTCGACTCACATAGTTGAACATTCCTATAGATAGAGCAGGTTGTAAACAATCTTTTTGTAGAATCTGCGATTGGAGATTTGGACTGCTTTGAGGCCTACTGTAGTAAAGGAAATAACTTCATCTAAAAACCAAACGGAAGCATTCACAGAAAATTCTTAGTGATCATTGGATTGAACTAACAGAGCTGAACATTCCTTTAGATGGAGCAGTTTCCAAACCCACTTTCTGTAGAATCTGCAAGTGGATATTTGGACTTCTCTGAGGATTTCGTTGGAAACGGGATATGCTTCCCAGAACTACAGGGAAGCATTCTGAGAAACTTCTTTGTGATGTTTGCATTCAACTCACAGAGTTGAACCTTGCTTTCATAGTTCAGCTTTGAAACACTCTTTCTGTAGAATCTGCAAGTGGATATTAGGACCACATTGTGGCCTTCCTTCGAAACGGGTATATCTTCACATCAAACCTAGACAGAAGCATTCTCAGAATGTTTCCTGTGATGACTGCATTCAAATAACAGAGTTGAACAATCCTGCTGATGGAGCAGTTTTGAAACTCTCTTTCTTTGGATTCTGAAAGTGGATATGTGGACCTCTGTGAAGATTTCGTTGGAAACGGGTTCATCTTCACGGAAAAACTAAACAGGAGCATTCTCAGAAACTGCTTTGTGATGTTTGTGTTCCACTTCAGGAATTGTACTTTCCTCTTGACAGAGCAGCTCTGAAACCCTCTTATTCTAGAATCTGCAAGTGGACATTTGGAGGGCTTTGAGGCCTGTGGTGGAAAAGGAAAATCTTCACATAAAAACTAGATGGAAGCATTCTCAGAAACTACTTTGTGATGATTGCATTCGACTCACAGAGTTGAACATTCCTATAGATAGAGCAGGTTGTAAACAATCTTTTTGTAGAATCTGCGATTGGAGATTTGGACTGCTTTGAGGCCTACTGTAGTAAAGGAAATAACTTCATCTAAAAACCAAACGGAAGCATTCACAGACAATTCTTAGTGATCATTGGATTGAACTAACAGAGCTGAACATTCCTTTAGATGGAGCATTTTCCAAACACACTTTCTGTAGAATCTGCAAGTGGATATTTGGACTTCTCTGAGGATTTCGTTGGAAACGGGATAAACTTCCCAGAACTACACGGAAGCATTCTGAGAAACTTCTTTGTGATGTTTGCATTCATCTCACAGAGTTGAACCTTGCTTTCATAGTTCAGCTTTCAAACACTCTTTTTGTAGAATCTGCAAGTGGATATTTGGACCACTTTGTGGCCTTCCTTCGAAACGGGTATATCTTCACATCAAACCTAGACAGAAGCATTCTCAGAATGTTTCCTGTGATGACTGCATTCAACTCACAGAGGTGAACAATCCTGTTGATGGAGCAGTTTTGAAACTCTCTTTCTTTGGATTCTGCAAGTTGATATGTGGACCTCTGTGAAGATTTCGTTGGAAACGGGTTCATCTTCACAGAAAAACTAAACAGAAGCATTCTCAGAAACTGCTTTGTGATGTTTGTGTTCCACTTCAAGAATTGAACTTTCCTCTTGACAGAGCAGCTCTGAAACCCTCTTTTTCTAGAATCTGCAAGTGGACATTTGGAGGGCTTTGAGGCCTGTGGTGGAAAAGGAAAATCTTCACATAAAAACTAGATGGAAGAATTCTCAGAAACTACTTTGTGATGATTGCATTCGACTCACAGAGTTGAACATTCCTATAGATAGAGCAGGTTGTAAACAATCTTTTTGTAGAATCTGCGATTGGAGATTTGGACTGCTTTGAGGCCTACTGTAGTAAAGGAAATAACTTCATCTAAAAACCAAACGGAAGCATTCACAGACAATTCTTAGTGATCATTGCATTGAACTAACAGAGCTGAACATTCCTTTAGATGGCGCAGTTTCCAAACACACTTTCTGTAGAATCTGCAAGTGGATATTTGGACCTCTCTGAGGATTTCGTTGGAAACGGGATAAACTTCCCAGAACTACACGGAAGCATTGTGAGAAACTTCTTTGTGATGTTTGCATTCAACTCACAGAGTTGAACCTTGCTTTCATAGTTCAGCTTTCAAACACTCTTTTTGTAGAATCTGCAAGTGGATATTTGGACCACTTTGTGGCCTTCCTTCGAAACGGGTATATCTTCACATCAAACCTAGACAGAAGCATTCTCAGAATGTTTCCTGTGATGACTGCATTCAACTCACAGAGGTGAACAATCCTGCTGATGGAGCAGTTTTGAAACTCTCTTTCTTTGGATTCTGCAAGTGGATATGTGGACCTCTGTGAAGATTTCGTTGGAAACGGGTTCATCTTCACAGAAAAACTAAACAGGAGCATTCTCAGAAACTGCTTTGTGATGTTTGTGTTCCACTTCAGGAATTGAACTTTCCTCTTGACTGAGCAGCTCTGAAACCCTCTTTTTCTAGAATCTGCAAGTGGACATTTGGAGGGCTTTGAGGCCTGTGGTGGAAAAGGAAAATCTTCACATAAAAACTAGATGGAAGCATTCTCAGAAACTACTTTGTGATGATTGCATTCGACTCACAGAGTTGAACATTCCTATAGATAGAGCAGGTTGTAAACAATCTTTTTGTAGAATCTGCGATTGGAGATTTGGACTGCTTTGAGGCCTACTGTAGTAAAGGAAATAACTTCATCTAAAAACCAAACGGAAGCATTTACAGACAATTCTTAGTGATCATTGCATTGAACTAACAGAGGTGAACATTCCTTTAGATGGCGCAGTTTCCAAACACACTTTCTGTAGAATCTGCAAGTGGATATTTGGACCTCTCTGAGGATTTCGTTGGAAACGGGATAAACTTCCCAGAACTACACGGAAGCATTCTGAGAAACTTCTTTGTGATGTTTGCATTCAACTCACAGAGTTGAACCTTGCTTTCATAGTTCAGCTTTCAAACACTCTTTTTGTAGAATCTGCAAGTGGATATTTGGACCACTTTGTGGCCTTCCTTCGAAACGGGTATATCTTCACATAAAACCTAGACAGAAGCATTCTCAGAATGTTTCCTGTGATGACTGCATTCAACTCACAGAGGTGAACAATCCTGCTGATGGAGCAGTTTTGAAACTCTCTTTCTTTGGATTCTGCAAGTGGATATGTGGACCTCTGTGAAGATTTCGTTGGAAACGGGTTCATCTTCACAGAAAAACTAAACAGAAGCATTCTCAGAAACTGCTTTGTGATGTTTGTGTTCCACTTCAGGAATTGAACTTTCCTCTTGACAGAGCAGCTCTGAAACCCTCTTATTCTAGAATCTGCAAGTGGACATTTGGAGGGCTTTGAGGCCTGTGGTGGAAAAGGAAAATCTTCACATAAAAACTAGACGGAAGCATTCTCAGAAACTACTTTGTGATGATTGCATTCGACTCACAGAGTTGAACATTCCTATAGATAGAGCAGGTTGTAAACAATCTTTTTGTAGAATCTGCGATTGGAGATTTGGACTGCTTTGAGGCCTACTGTAGTAAAGGAAATAACTTCATCTAAAAACCAAACGGAAGCATTCACAGACAATTCTTAGTGATCATTGCATTGAACTAACAGAGCTGAACATTCCTTTAGATGGCGCAGTTTCCAAACACACTTTCTGTAGAATCTGCAAGTGGATATTTGGACCTCTCTGAGGATTTCGTTGGAAACGGGATAAACTTCCCAGAACTACACGGAAGCATTCTGAGAAACTTCTTTGTGATGTTTGCATTCAACTCACAGAGTTGAACCTTGCTTTCATAGTTCAGCTTTCAAACACTCTTTTTGTAGAATCTGCAAGTGGATATTTGGACCACTTTGTGGCCTTCCTTCGAAACGGGTATATCTTCACATCAAACCTAGACAGAAGCATTCTCGGAATGTTTCCTGTGATGACTGCATTCAACTCACAGAGGTGAACAATCCTGCTGATGGAGCAGTTTTGAAACTCTCTTTCTTTGGATTCTGCAGGTGGATATGTGGACCTCTGTGAAGATTTCGTTGGAAACAGGTTCATCTTCACAGAAAAACTAAACAGGAGCATTCTCAGAAACTGCTTTGTGATGTTTGTGTTCCACTTCAAGAATTGAACTTTCCTCTTGACAGAGCAGCTCTGAAACCCTCTTTTTCTAGAATCTGCAAGTGGACATTTGGAGGGCTTTGAGGCCTGTGGTGGAAAAGGAAAATCTTCACATAAAAACTAGATGGAAGCATTCTCAGAAACTACTTTGTGATGATTGCATTCGACTCACAGAGTTGAACATTCCTATAGATAGAGCAGGTTGTAAACAATCTTTTTGTAGAATCTGCGATTGGAGATTTGGACTGCTTTGAGGCCTACTGTAGTAAAGGAAATAACTTCATCTAAAAACCAAACGGAAGCATTCACAGACAATTCTTAGTGATCATTGGATTGAACTAACAGAGCTGAACATTCCTTTAGATGGAGCAGTTTCCAAACCCACTTTCTGTAGAATCTGCAAGGGGATATTTGGACTTCTCTGAGGATTTCGTTGGAAACGGGATAAACTTCCCAGAACTACACGGAAGCATTGTGAGAAACTTCTTTGTGATGTTTGCATTCAACTCACAGAGTTGAACCTTGCTTTCATAGTTCAGCTTTCAAACACTCTTTTTGTAGAATCTGCAAGTGGATATATGGACCACTTTGTGGCCTTCCTTCGAAACGGGTATATCTTCACATCAAACCTTGACAGAAGCATTCTCAGAATGTTTCCTGTGATGACTGCATTCAACTCACAGAGGTGAACAATCCTGCTGATGGAGCAGTTTTGAAACTCTCTTTCTTTGGATTCTGCAAGTGGATATGTGGACCTCTGTGAAGATTTCGTTGGAAACGGGTTCATCTTCACAGAAAAACTAAACAGAAGCATTCTCAGAAACTGCTTTGTGATGTTTGTGTTCCACTTCAAGAATTGAACTTTCTTCTTGATAGAGCAACTCTGAAACCCTCTTTTTCTAGAATCTGCAAGTGGACATTTGGAGGGCTTTGAGGCCTGTGGTGGAAAAGGAAAATCTTCACATAAAAACTAGATGGAAGCATTCTCAGAAACTACATTGTGATGATTGCATTCGACTCACAGAGTTCAACATTCCTATAGATAGAGCAGGTTGTAAACAATCTTTTTGTAGAATCTGCGATTGGAGATTTAGACTGCTTTGAGGCCTACTGTAGTAAATTAAATAACTTCATCTAAAAACCAAACGGAAGCATTCACAGACAATTCTTAGTGATCATTGCATTGAACTAACAGAGCTGAACATTCCTTTAGATGGAGCAGTTTCCAAACACACTTTCTGTAGAATCTGCAAGTGGATATTTGGACCTCTCTGAGGATTTCGTTGGAAACGGGATAAACTTCCCAGAACTACACGGAAGCATGCTGAGAAACTTCTTTGTGATGTTTGCATTCAACTCACAGAGTTGAACCTTGCTTTCATAGTTCAGCTTTCAAACACTCTTTTTGTAGAATCTGCAAGTGGATATTTGGACCACTTTGTGGCCTTCCTTCGAAACGGGTATATCTTCACATCAAACCTAGACAGAAGCATTCTCAGAATGTTTCCTGTGATGACTGCATTCAACTCACAGAGGTGAACAATCCTGCTGATGGAGCAGTTTTGAAACTCTCTTTCTTTGGATTCTGCAAGTGGATATGTGGACCTCTGTGAAGATTTCGTTGGAAACGGGTTCATCTTCACAGAAAAACTAAACAGAAGCATTCTCAGAAACTGCTTTGTGATGTTTGTGTTCCACTTCAAGAATTGAACTTTCCTCTTGACAGAGCAGCTCTGAAACCCTCTTTTTCTAGAATCTGCAAGTGGACATTTGGAGGGCTTTGAGGCCTGTGGTGGAAAAGGAAAATCTTCACATAAAAACTAGATGGAAGCATTCTCAGAAACTACTTTGTGATGATTGCATTCGACTCACAGAGTTGAACATTCCTATAGATAGAGCAGGTTGTAAACAATGTTTTTGTAGAATCTGCGATTGGAGATTTGGATTGCTTTGAGGCCTACTGTAGTAAAGGAAATAACTTCATCTAAAAACCAAACGGAAGCATTCACAGACAATTCTTAGTGATCATTGGATTGAACTAACAGAGCTGAACATTCCTTTAGATGGAGCAGTTGCCAAACCCACTTTCTGTAGAATCTGCAAGTGGATATTTGGACTTCTCTGAGGATTTCGTTGGAAACGGGATAAACTTCCCAGAACTACACGGAAGCATTCTGAGAAACTTCTTTGTGATGTTTGCATTCAACTCACAGAGTTGAACCTTGCTTTCATAGTTCAGCTTTCAAACACTCTTTTTGTAGAATCTGCAAGTGGATATTTGGACCACTTTGTGGCCTTCCTTTGAAAAGGGTGTATCTTCACATCAAACCTAGACAGAAGCATTCTCAGAATGTTTCCTGTGATGACTGCATTCAACTCACAGAGGTGAACAATCCTGCTGATGGAGCAGTTTTGAAACTCTCTTTCTTTGGATTCTGCAAGTGGATATGTGGACCTCTGTGAAGATTTCGTTGGAAACGGATTCATCTTCACAGAAAAACTAAACAGAAGCATTCTCAGAAACTGCTTTGTGATGTTTGTGTTCCACTTCAAGAATTGAACTTTCCTCTTGACAGAGCAGCTCTGAAACCCTCTTTTTCTAGAATCTGCAAGTGGACATTTGGAGGGCTTTGAGGCCTGTGGTGGAAAAGGAAAATCTTCCCATAAAAACTAGATGGAAGCATTCTCAGAAACTACTTTGGGATGATTGCATTCGACTCACAGAGTTGAACATTCCTATAGATAGAGCAGGTTGTAAACAATCTTTTTGTAGAATCTGCGATTGGAGATTTGGACTGCTTTGAGGCCTACTGTAGTAAATTAAATAACTTCATCTAAAAACCAAACGGAAGCATTCACAGACAATTCTTAGTGATCATTGCATTGAACTAACAGAGCTGAACATTCCTTTAGATGGCGCAGTTTCCAAACACACTTTCTGTAGAATCTGCAAGTGGATATTTGGACCTCTCTGAGGATTTCGTTGGAAACGGGATAAACTTCCCAGAACTACACGGAAGCATTGTGAGAAAATTCTTTGTGAAGTTTGCATTCAACTCACAGAGTTGAACCTTGGTTTCATAGTTCAGCTTTCAAACACTCTTTTTGTAGAATCTGCAAGTGGATATTTGGACCACTTTGTGGCCTTCCTTCGAAACGGGTATATCTTCACATCAAACCTAGACAGAAGCATTCTCAGAATGTTTCCTGTGATGACTGCATTCAACTCACAGAGGTGAACAATCCTGCTGATGGAGCAGTTTTGAAACTCTCTTTCTTTGGATTCTGCAAGTGGATATGTGGACCTCTGTGAAGATTTCGTTGGAAACGGGTTCATCTTCACAGAAAAACTAAACAGGAGCATTCTCAGAAACTGCTTTGTGATGTTTGTGTTCCACTTCAGGAATTGAACTTTCCTCTTGACAGAGCAGCTCTGAAACCCTCTTTTTCTAGAATCTGCAAGTGGACATTTGGAGGGCTTTGAGGCCTGTGGTGGAAAAGGAAAATCTTCACATAAAAACTAGATGGAAGCATTCTCAGAAACTACTTTGTGATGATTGCATTCGACTCACAGAGTTGAACATTCCTATAGATAGAGCAGGTTGTAAACAATCTTTTTGTAGAATCTGCGATTGGAGATTTGGACTGCTTTGAGGCCTACTGTAGTAAAGGAAATAACTTCATCTAAAAACCAAACGGAAGCATTCACAGACAATTCTTAGTGATCATTGGATTGAACTAACAGAGCTGAACATTCCTTTAGATGGAGCAGTTTCCAAACCCACTTTCTGTAGAATCTGCAAGTGGATATTTGGACTTCTCTGAGGATTTCGTTGGAAACGGGATAAACTTCCCAGAACTACACGGAAGCATTCTGAGAAACTTCTTTGTGATGTTTGCATTCAACTCACAGAGTTGAACCTTGCTTTCATAGTTCAGCTTTCAAACACTCTTTTTGTAGAATCTGCAAGTGGATATTTGGACCACTTTGTGGCCTTCCTTCGAAACGGGTATATCTTCACATCAAACCTAGACAGAAGCATTCTCAGAATGTTTCCTGTGATGACTGCATTCAACTCACAGAGGTGAACAATCCTGCTGATGGAGCAGTTTTGAAACTCTCTTTCTTTGGATTCTGCAAGTGGATATGTGGACCTCTGTGAAGATTTCGTTGGAAACGGGTTCATCTTCACAGAAAAACTAAACAGAAGCATTCTCAGAAACTGTTTTGTGATGTTTGTGTTCCACTTCAGGAATTGAACTTTCCTCTTGACAGAGCAGCTCTGAAACCCTCTTATTCTAGAATCTGCAAGTGGACATTTGAAGGGCTTTGAGGCCTGTGGTGGAAAAGGAAAATCTTCACATAAAAACTAGATGAAAGCATTCTCAGAAACTACTTTGTGATGATTGCATTCGACTCACAGAGTTGAACATTCCTATAGATAGAGCAGGTTGAAAACAATCTTTTTTTAGAATCTGCGATTGGAGATTTGGACTGCTTTGAGGCCTACTGTAGTAAAGGAAATAACTTCATCTAAAAACCAAACGGAAGCATTCACAGACAATTCTTAGTGATCATTGGATTGAACTAACAGAGCTGAAAATTCCTTTAGATGGAGCAGATTCCAAACACACTTTCTGTAGAATCTGCAACTGGATATTTGGACCTCTCTGAGGATTTCGTTGGAAACAGGATAAACTTCCCAGAACTACACGGAAGCATTGTGAGAGACTTCTTTGTGATGTTTTCATTCAACTCACAGAGTTGAACCTTGCTTTCATAGTTCAGCTTTCAAACACTCTTTTTGTAGAATCTGCAAGTGGATATTTGGACCACTTTGTGGCCTTCCTTCGAAACGGGTATATCTTCACATCAAACCTATACAGAAGCATTCTCAGAATGTTTCCTGTGATGACTGCATTCAACTCACAGAGGTGAACAATCCTGCTGATGGAGCAGTTTTGAAACTCTCTTTCTTTGGATTCTGCAAGTGGATATGTGGACCTCTGTGAAGATTTCGTTGGAAACGGGTTCATCTTCACAGAAAAACTAAACAGAAGCATTCTCGGAAACTGCTTTGTGATGTTTGTGTTCCACTTCAGGAATTGAACTTTCCTCTTGACAGAGCAGCTCTGAAACCCTCTTATTCTAGAATCTGCAAGTGGACATTTGGAGGGCTTTGAGGCCTGTGGTGGAAAAGGAAAATCTTCACATAAAAACTAGATGGAAGCATTCTCAGAAACTACTTTGTGATGATTGCATTCGACTCACAGAGTTGAACATTCCTATAGATAGAGCAGGTTGTAAACAATCTTTTTGTAGAATCTGCGATTGGAGATTTGGACTGCTTTGAGGCCTACTGTAGTAAAGGAAATAACTTCATCTAAAAACCAAACGGAAGCATTCACAGACAATTCTTAGTGATCATTGGATTGAACTAACAGAGCTGAACATTCCTTTAGATGGAGCAGTTTCCAAACACACTTTCTGTAGAATCTGCAAGTGGATATTTGGACTTCTCTGAGGATTTCGTTGGAAACGGGATAAACTTCCCAGAACTACACGGAAGCATTCTGAGAAACTTCTTTGTGATGTTTGCATTCAACTCACAGAGTTGAACCTTGCTTTCTTAGTTCAGCTTTCAAACACTCTTTTTGTAGAATCTGCAAGTGGATATTTGGACCACTTTGTGGCCTTCCTTCGAAACGGGTATATCTTCACATCAAACCTAGACAGAAGCATTCTCAGAATGTTTCCTGTGATGACTGCATTCAACTCACAGAGGTGAACAATCCTGCTGATGGAGCAGTTTTGAAACTCTCTTTCTTTGGATTCTGCAAGTGGATATGTGGACCTCTTTGAAGATTTCGTTGGAAACGGGTTCATCTTCACAGAAAAACTAAACAGGAGCATTCTCAGAAACTGCTTTGTGATGTTTGTGTTCCACTTCAAGAATTGAACTTTCCTCTTGACAGAGCAGCTCTGAAACCCTCTTTTTCTAGAATCTGCAAGTGGACATTTGGAGGGCTTTGAGGCCTGTGGTGGAAAAGGAAAATCTTCACATAAAAACTAGATGGAAGCATTCTCAGAAACTACTTTGTGATGATTGCATTCGACTCACAGAGTTGAACATTCCTATAGGTAGAGCAGGTTGTAAACAATCTTTTTGTAGAATCTGCGATTGGAGATTTGGACTGCTTTGAGGCCTACTGTAGTAAAGGAAATAACTTCATCTAAAAACCAAACGGAAGCATTCACAGACAATTCTTAGTGATCATTGCATTGAACTAACAGAGCTGAACATTCCTTTAGATGGCGCAGTTTCCAAACACACTTTCTGTAGAATCTGCAAGTGGATATTTGGACCTCTCTGAGGATTTCGTTGGAAACGGGATAAACTTCCCAGAACTACACGGAAGCATGCTGAGAAACTTCTTTGTGATGTTTGCATTCAACTCACAGAGTTGAACCTTGCTTTCATAGTTCAGCTTTCAAACACTCTTTTTGTAGAATCTGCAAGTGGATATTTGGACCGCTTTGTGGCCTTCCTTCGAAACGGGTATATCTTCACATCAAACCTAGACAGAAGCATTCTCAGAATGTTTCCTGTGATGACTGCATTCAACTCACAGAGGTGAACAATCCTGCTGATGGAGCAGTTTTGAAACTCTCTTTCTTTGGATTCTGCAAGTGGATATGTGGACCTCTGTGAAGATTTCGTTGGAAACGGGTTCATCTTCACAGAAAAACTAAACAGGATCATTCTCAGAAACTGCTTTGTGATGTTTGTGTTCCACTTCAAGAATTGAACTTTCCTCTTGACAGAGCAGCTCTGAAACCCTCTTTTTCTAGAATCTGCAAGTGGACATTTGGAGGGCTTTGAGGCCTGTGGTGGAAAAGGAAAATCTTCACATAAAAACTAGGTGGAAGCATTCTCAGAAACTACTTTGTGATGATTGCATTCGACTCACAGAGTTGAACATTCCTATAGATAGAGCAGGTTGTAAACAATCTTTTTGTAGAATCTGCGATTGAAGATTTGGACTGCTTTGAGGCCTACTGTAGTAAAGGAAATAACTTCATCTAAAAACCAAACGGAAGCATCCACAGACAATTCTTAGTGATCATTGCATTGAACTAACAGAGCTGAACATTCCTTTAGATGGAGCAGTTTCCAAACACACTTTCTGTAGAATCTGCAAGTGGATATTTGGACTTTTCTGAGGATTTCGTTGGAAACGGGATAAACTTCCCAGAACTACAGGGAAGCATTCTGAGAAACTTCTTTGTGATGTTTGCATTCAACTCACAGATTTGCACCTTGCTTTCATAGTTCAGCTTTCAAACACTCTTTTTGTAGAATCTGCAAGTGGATATTTGGACCACTTTGTGGCCTTCCTTCGAAAAGGGTATATCTTCACATCAAACCTAGACAGAAGCATTCTCAGAATGTTTCCTGTGATGACTGCATTCAACTCACAGAGGTGAACAATCCTGCTGATGGAGCAGTTTTGAAACTCTCTTTCTTTGGATTCTGCAAGTGGATATGTGGACCTCTGTGAAGATTTCGTTGGAAACGGGTTCATCTTCACAGAAAAACTAAACAGAAGCATTCTCAGAAACTGCTTTGTGATGTTTGTGTTTCACTTCAGGAATTGAACTTTCCTCTTGACCGAGCAGCTCTGAAACCCTCTTATTCTAGAATCTGCAAGTGGACATTTGGAGGGCTTTGAGGCCTGTGGTGGAAAAGGAAAATCTTCACATAAAAACTAGATGGAAGCATTCTCAGAAACTACTTTGTGATGATTGCTTTTGACTCACAGAGTTGAACATTCCTATAGATAGAGCAGGTTGTAAACAATCTTTTTGTAGAATCTGCGATTGGAGATTTGGACTGCTTTGAGGCCTACTGTAGTAAAGGAAATAACTTCATCTAAAAACCAAACGGAAGCATTCACAGACAATTCTTAGTGATCATTGGATTGAACTAACAGAGCTGAACATTCCTTTAGATGGAGCAGTTTCCAAACCCACTTTCTGTAGAATCTGCAAGTGGATATTTGGACTTCTCTGAGGATTTCGTTGGAAACGGGATAAACTTCCCAGAACTACAAGGAAGCATTCTGAGAAACTTCTTTGTTATGTTTGCATTCAACTCACAGAGTTGAACCTTGCTTTCATAGTTCAGCTTTCAAACACTCTTTTTGTAGAATCTGCAAGTGGATATTTGGACCACTTTGTTGCCTTCCTTCGAAACGGGTATATCTTCACATCAAACCTAGACAGAAGCATTCTCAGAATGTTTCCTGTGATGACTGCATTCAACTCACAGAGGTGAACAATCCTGCTGATGGAGCAGTCTTGAAACTCTCTTTCTTTGGATTCTGCAAGTGGATATGTGGACCTCTGTGAAGATTTCGTTGGAAACGGGTTCATCTTCACAGAAAAACTAAACAGGAGCATTCTCAGAAACTGCTTTGTGATGTTTCTGTTCCACTTCAGGAATTGAACTTTCCTCTTGACAGAGCAGCTCTGAAACCCTCTTTTTCTAGAATCTGCAAGTGGACATTTGGAGGGCTTTGAGGCCTGTGGTGGAAAAGGAAAATCTTCACATAAAAACTAGATGGAAGCATTCTCAGAAACTACTTTGTGATCATTGCATTCGACTCACAGATTTGAACATTCCTATAGATAGAGCAGGTTGTAAACAATCTTTTTGTAGAATCTGCGATTGGAGATTTGGACTGCTTTGAGGCCTACTGTAGTAAAGGAAATAACTTCATCTAAAAACCAAACGGAGGCATTCACAGACAATTCTTAGTGATCATTGGATTGAACTAACAGAGCTGAAGATTCCTTTAGATGGAGCAGTTTCCAAACACACTTTCTGTAGAATCTGCAAGTGGATATTTGGACCTCTCTGAGGATTTTGTTGGAAACAGGATAAAGTTCCCAGAACTACACGGAAGTATTCTGAGAAACTTCTTTGTGATGTTTGCATTCAACTCACAGAGTTGAACCTTGCTTTCATAGTTCAGCTTTCAAACACTCTTTTTGTAGAATCTGCAAGTGGATATTTGGACCACTTTGTGGCCTTCCTTCGAAACGGGTATATCTTCACATCAAACCTAGACAGAAGCATTCTCGGAATGTTTCCTGTGATGACTGCATTCAACTCACAGAGGTGAACAATCCTGCTGATGGAGCAGTTTTGAAACTCTCTTTCTTTGGATTCTGCAAGTGGATATGTGGACCTCTGTGAAGATTTCGTTGGAAACGGGTTCATCTTCACAGAAAAACTAAACAGGAGCATTCTCAGAAACTGCTTTGTGATGTTTGTGTTCCACTTCAAGAATTGAACTTTCCTCTTGACAGAGCAGCTCTGAAACCCTCTTTTTCTAGAATCTGCAAGTGGACATTTGGAGGGCTTTGAGGCCTGTGGTGGAAAAGGAAAATCTTCACATAAAAACTAGATGGAAGCATTCTCAGAAACTACTTTTTGATGATTGCATTCGACTCACAGAGTTGAACATTCCTATAGATAGAGCAGGTTGTACACAATCTTTTTGTAGAATCTGCGATTGGAGATTTGGACTGCTTTGAGGCCTACTGTAGTAAAGGAAATAACTTCATCTAAAAACCAAACGGAAGCATTCACAGACAATTCTTAGTGATCATTGCATTGAACTAACAGAGCTGAACATTCCTTTAGATGGAGCAGTTTCCAAACACACTTTCTGTAGAATCTGCAAGTGGATATTTGGACTTCTCTGAGGATTTCGTTTGAAACGGGATAAACTTCCCAGAACTACACGGAAGCATTGTGAGAAACTTCTTTGTGATGTTTGCATTCAACTCACAGAGTTGAACCTTGCTTTCATAGTTCAGCTTTCAAACACTCTTTTTGTAGAATCTGCAAGTGGATATTTGGACCACTTTGTGGCCTTCCTTCGAAACGGGTATATCTTCACATCAAACCTAGACAGAAGCATTCTCAGAATGTTTCCTGTGATGACTGCATTCAACTCACAGAGGTGAACAATCCTGTTGATGGAGCAGTTTTGAAACTCTCTTTCTTTGGATTCTGCAAGTGGATATGTGGACCTCTGTGAAGATTTCGTTGGAAACGGGTTCATCTTCACAGAAAAACTAAACAGAAGCATTCTCAGAAACTGCTTTGCGATGTTTGTGTTCCACTTCAAGAATTGAACTTTCCTCTTGACAGAGCAGCTCTGAAACCCTCTTTTTCTAGAATCTGCAAGTGGACATTTGGAGGGCTTTGAGGCCTGTGGTGGAAAAGGAAACTCTTCATATAAAAACTAGATGGAAGCATTCTCAGAAACTACTTTGTGATGATTGCATTCGACTCACAGAGTTGAACATTCCTATAGATAGAGCAGGTTGTAAACAATCTTTTTGTAGAATCTGCGATTGGAGATTTGGACTGCTTTGAGGCCTACTGTAGTAAAGGAAATAACTTCATCTAAAAATCAAACGGAAGCATTCACAGACAATTCTTAGTGATCATTGCATTGAACTAACAGAGCTGAACATTCCTTTAGATGGCGCAATTTCCAAACACACTTTCTGTAGAATCTGCAAGTGGATATTTGGACCTCTCTGAGGATTTCGTTGGAAACGGGATAAACTTCCCAGAACTACACGGAAGCATTCTGAGAAACTTCTTTGTGATGTTTGCATTCAACTCACAGAGTTGAACCTTGCTTTCATAGTTCAGCTTTCAAACCCTCTTTTTGTAGAATCTGCAAGTGGATATTTGGACCACTTTGTGGCCTTCCTTCGAAACGGGTATATCTTCACATCAAACCTAGACAGAAGCATTCTCAGAATGTTTCCTGTGATGACTGCATTCAACTCACAGAGGTGAACAATCCTGCTGATGGAGGAGTTTTGAAACTCTCTTTCTTTGGATTCTGCAAGTGGATATGTGGACCTCTGTGAAGATTTCGTTGGAAACGGGTTCATCTTCACAGAAAAACTAAACAGAAACATTCTCAGAAACTGCTTTGTGATGTTTGTGTTCCACTTCAAGAATTGAACTTTCCTCTTGACAGAGCAGCTCTGAAACCCTCTTTTTCTAGAATCTGCAAGTGGACATTTGGAGGGCTTTGAGGCCTGTGGTGGAAAAGGAAAATCTTCACATAAAAACTAGATGGAAGCATTCTCAGAAACTACTTTGTGATGATTGCATTCGACTCACAGAGTTGAACATTCCTATAGATAGAGCAGGTTGTAAACAATCTTTTTGTAGAATCTGCGATTGGAGATTTGGACTGCTTTGAGGCCTACTGTAGTAAAGGAAATAACTTCATCTAAAAACCAAACGGAAGCATTCACAGACAATTCTTAGTGATCATTGCATTGAACTAACAGAGCTGAACATTCCTTTAGATGGAGCAGTTTCCAAACACACTTTCTGTAGAATGTGCAAGTGGATATTTGGACTTCTCTGAGGATTTCGTTGGAAACGGGATAAACTTCCCAGAACTACACGGAAGCATTGTGAGAAACTTCTTTGTGATGTTTGCATTCAACTCACAGAGTTGAACCTTGCTTTCATAGTTCAGCTTTCAAACACTCTTTTTGTAGAATCTGCAAGTGGATATTTGGACCACTTTGTGGCCTTCCTTCGAAACGGGTATATCTTCACATCAAACCTAGACAGAAGCATTCTCAGAATGTTTCCTGTGATGACTGCATTCAACTCACAGAGGTGAACAATCCTGCTGATGGAGCAGTTTTGAAACTCTCTTTCTTTGGATTCTGCAAGTGGATATGTGGACCTCTGTGAAGATTTCGTTGGAAACGGGTTCATCTTCACAGAAAAACTAAACAGGAGCATTCTCAGAAACTGCTTTGTGATGTTTGTGTTCCACTTCAAGAATTGAACTTTCCTCTTGACAGAGCAGCTCTGAAACCCTCTTCTTCTAGAATCTGCAAGTGGACATTTGGAGGGCTTTGAGGCCTGTGGTGGAAAAGGAAAATCTTCACATAAAAACTAGATGGAAGCATTCTCAGAAACTACTTTGTGATGATTGCATTCGACTCACAGAGTTGAACATTCCTATAGATAGAGCAGGTTGTAAACAATCTTTTTGTAGAATCTGCGATTGGAGATTTGGACTGCTTTGAGGCCTACTGTAGTAAAGGAAATAACTTCATCTAAAAACCAAACGGAAGCATTCACAGAGAATTCTTAGTGATCATTGCATTGAACTAACAGAGCTGAACATTCCTTTAGATGGCGCAGTTTCCAAACACACTTTCTGTAGAATCTGAAAGTGGATATTTGGACCTCTCTGAGGATTTCGTTGGAAACGGGATAAACTTCCCAGAACTACACGGAAGCATTCTGAGAAACTTCTTTGTGATGTTTGCATTCAACTCACAGAGTTGAACCTTGCTTTCATAGTTCAGCTTTCAAACACTCTTTTTGTAGAATCTGCAAGTGGATATTTGGACCACTTTGTGGCCTTCCTTCGAAACGGGTATATCTTCACATCAAACCTAGACAGAAGCATTCTCAGAATGTTTCCTGTGATGACTGCATTCAACTCACAGAGGTGAACAATCCTGCTGATGGAGCAGTTTTGAAACTCTCTTTCTTTGGATTCTGCAGGTGGATATGTGGACCTCTGTGAAGATTTCGTTGGAAACGGGTTCATCTTCACAGAAAAACTAAACAGGAGCATTCTCAGAAACTGCTTTGTGATGTTTGTGTTCCACTTCAGGAATTGAACTTTCCTCTTGACAGAGCAGCTCTGAAACCCTCTTTTTCTAGAATCTGCAAGTGGACATTTGGAGGGCTTTGAGGCCTGTGGTGGAAAAGGAAAATCTTCACATAAAAACTAGATGGAAGCATTCTCAGAAACTACTTTGTGATGATTGCATTCGACTCACAGAGTTGAACATTCCTATAGATAGAGCAGGTTGAAAACAATCTTTTTGTAGAATCTGCGATTGGAGATTTGGACTGCTTTGAGGCCTACTGTAGTAAAGGAAATAACTTCATCTAAAAACCAAACGGAAGCATTCACAGACAATTCTTAGTGATCATTGGATTGAACTAACAGAGCTGAACATTCCTTTAGATGGAGCAGTTTCCAAACCCACTTTCTGTAGAATCTGCAAGTGGATATTTGGACTTCTCTGAGGATTTCGTTGGAAACGGGATAAACTTCCCAGAACTACACGGAAGCATTTTGAGAAACTTCTTTGTGATGTTTGCATTCAACTCACAGAGTTGAACCTTGCTTTCATAGTTCAGCTTTCAAACACTCTTTTTGTAGAATCTGCAAGTGGATATTTGGACCACTTTGTGGCCTTCCTTTGAAAAGGGTATATCTTCACATCAAACCTAGACAGAAGCATTCTCAGAATGTTTCCTGTGATGACTGCATTCAACTCACAGAGGTGAACAATCCTGCTGATGGAGCAGTTTTGAAACTCTCTTTCTTTGGATTCTGCAAGTGGATATGTGGACCTCTGTGAAGATTTCGTTGGAAACGGGTTCATCTTCACAGAAAAACTAAACAGAAGCATTCTCAGAAACTGCTTTGTGATGTTTGTGTTCCACTTCAGGAATTGAACTTTCCTCTTGACAGAGCAGCTCTGAAACCCTCTTATTCTAGAATCTGCAAGTGGACATTTGGAGGGCTTTGAGGCCTGTGGTGGAAAAGGAAAATCTTCACATAAAAACTAGATGGAAGCATTCTCAGAAACTACTTTGTGATGATTGCATTCGACTCACAGAGTTGAACATTCCTATAGATAGAGCAGGTTGTAAACAATCTTTTTGTAGAATCTGCGATTGGAGATTTGGACTGCTTTGAGGCCTACTGTAGTAAAGGAAATAACTTCATCTAAAAACCAAACGGAAGCATTCACAGACAATTCTTAGTGATCATTGGATTGAACTAACAGAGCTGAACATTCCTTTAGATGGAGCATTTTCCAAACACACTTTCTGTAGAATCTGCAAGTGGATATTTGGACTACTCTGAGGATTTCGTTGGAAACGGGATAAACTTCCCAGAACTACACGGAAGCATTGTGAGAAACTTCTTTGTGATGTTTGCATTCAACTCACAGAGTTGAACCTTGCTTTCATAGTTCAGCTTTCAAACACTCTTTTTGTAGAATCTGCAAGTGGATATTTGGACCACTTTGTGGCCTTCCTTCGAAACGGGTATATCTTCACATCAAACCTAGACAGAAGCATTCTCAGAATGTTTCCTGTGATGACTGCATTCAACTCACAGAGGTGAACAATCCTGCTGATGGAGCAGTTTTGAAACTCTCTTTCTTTGGATTCTGCAAGTGGATATGTGGACCTCTGTGAAGATTTCGTTGGAAACGGGTTCATCTTCACAGAAAAACTAAACAGGAGCATTCTCAGAAACTGCTTTGTGATGTTTGTGTTCCACTTCAAGAATTGAACTTTCCTCTTGACAGAGCAGCTCTGAAACCCTCTTTTTCTAGAATCTGCAAGTGGACATTTGGAGGGCTTTGAGACCTGTGGTGCAAAAGGAAAATCTTCACATAAAAACTAGATGGAAGCATTCTCAGAAACTACTTTGTGATGATTGCATTCGACTCACAGAGTTGAACATTCCTATAGATAGAGCAGGTTGTAAACAATCTTTTTGTAGAATCTGCGATTGGAGATTTGGACTGCTTTGAGGCCTACTGTAGTAAAGGAAATAACTTCATCTAAAAACCAAACGGAAGCATTCACAGACAATTCTTAGTGATCATTGGATTGAACTAACAGAGCTGAACATTCCTTTAGATGGAGCAGTTTCCAAACACACTTTCTGTAGAATCTGCAAGTGGATATTTGGACCTCTCTGAGGATTTCGTTGGAAACGGGATAAACTTCCCAGAACTACACGGAAGCATTGTGAGAAACTTCTTTGTGATGTTTGCATTCAACTCACAGAGTTGAACCTTGCTTTCATAGTTCAGCTTTCAAACACTCTTTTTGTAGAATCTGCAAGTGGATATTTGGACCACTTTGTGGCCTTCCTTCGAAACGGGTATATCTTCACATCAAACCTAGACAGAAGCATTCTCAGAATGTTTCCTGTGATGACTGCATTCAACTCACAGAGGTGAACAATCCTGCTGATGGAGCAGTTTTGAAACTCTCTTTCTTTGGATTCTGCAAGTGGATATGTGGACCTCTGTGAAGATTTCGTTGGAAACGGGTTCATCTTCACAGAAAAACTAAACAGGAGCATTCTCAGAAACTGCTTTGTGATGTTTGTGTTCCACTTCAGGAATTGAACTTTCCTCTTGACAGAGCAGCTCTAAAACCCTCTTATTCTAGAATCTGCAAGTGGACATTTGGAGGGCTTTGAGGCCTGTGGTGGAAAAGGAAAATCTTCACATAAAAACTAGATGGAAGCATTCTCAGAAACTACTTTGTGATGATTGCATTCGACTCACAGAGTTGAACATTCCTATAGATAGAGCAGGTTGTAAACAATGTTTTTGTAGAATCTGCGATTGGAGATTTGGACTGCTTTGAGGCCTACTGTAGTAAAGGAAATAACTTCATCTAAAAACCAAACGGAAGCATTCACAGACAATTCTTAGTGATCATTGGATTGAACTAACAGAGCTGAACATTCCTTTAGATGGAGCAGTTTCCAAACACACTTTCTGTAGAATCTGCAAGTGGATATTTGGACTTCTCTGAGGATTTCGTTGGAAACGGGATAAACTTCCCAGAACTACACGGAAGCATTCTGAGAAACTTCTTTGTGATGTTTGCATTCAACTCACAGAGTTGAACCTTGCTTTCATAGTTCAGCTTTCAAACACTCTTTTTGTAGAATCTGCAAGTGGATATTTGGACACTTTGTGGCCTTCCTTCGAAACGGGTATATCTTCACATCAAACCTAGACAGAAGCATTCTCAGAATGTTTCCTGTGATGACTGCATTCAACTCACAGAGGTGAACAATCCTGCTGATGGAGCAGTGTTGAAACTCTCTTTCTTTGGATTCTGCAAGTGGATATGTGGACCTCTGTGAAGATTTCGTTGGAAACGGGTTCATCTTCACAGAAAAACTAAACAGGAGCATTCTCAGAAACTGCTTTGTGATGTTTGTGTTCCACTTCAAGAATTGAACTTTCCTCTTGACAGAGCAGCTCTGAAACCCTCTTTTTCTAGAATCTGCAAGTGGACATTTGGAGGGATTTGAGGCCTGTGGTGGAAAAGGAAAATCTTCACATAAAAACTAGATGGAAGCATTCTCAGGAACTACTTTGTGATGATTGCATTCGACTCACAGAGTTGAACATTCCTATAGATAGAGCAGGTTGTAAACAATCTTTTTGTAGAATCTGCGATTGGAGATTTGGACAGCTTTGAGGCATACTGTAGTAAAGGAAATAACTTCATCTAAAAACCAAACGGAAGCATTCACAGACAATGCTTAGTGATCATTGGATTGAACTAACAGAGCTGAGCATTCCTTTAGATGGAGCAGTTTCCAAACCCACTTTCTGTAGAATCTGCAAGTGGATATTTGGACCTCTCTGAGGATTTCGTTGGAAACGGGATATACTTCCCAGAACTACACGGAAGTATTCTGAGAAACTTCTTTGTGATGTTTGCATTCAACTCACAGAGTTGAACCTTGCTTTCATAGTTCAGCTTTCAAACACTCTTTTTGTAGAATCTGCAAGTGGATATTTGGACCACTTTGTGGCCTTCCTTCGAAACGGGTATATCTTCACATCAAACCTAGACAGAAGCATTCTCAGAATGTTTCCTGTGATGACTGCATTCAACTCACAGAGGTGAACAATCCTGTTGATGGAGCAGTTTTGAAACTCTCTTTCTTTGTATTCTGCAAGTGGATATGTGGACCTCTGTGCAGATTTCGTTGGAAACGGGTTCATCTTCACAGAAAAACTAAACAGAAGCATTCTCAGAAACTGCTTTGTGATGTTTGTGTTCCACTTCAAGAATTGAACTTTCCTCTTGACAGAGCAGCTCTGAAACCCTCTTTTTCTAGAATCTGCAAGTGGACATTTGGAGGGCTTTGAGGCCTGTGGTGGAAAAGGAAACTCTTCACATAAAAACTAGATGGAAGCATTCTCAGAAACTACTTTGTGATGATTGCATTCGACTCACAGAGTTGAACATTCCTATAGATAGAGCAGGTTGTAAACAATCTTTTTGTAGAATCTGCGATTGGAGATTTGGACTGCTTTGAGGCCTACTGTAGTAAAGGAAATAACTTCATCTAAAAACCAAACGGAAGCATTCACAGATAATTCTTAGTGATCATTGGATTGAACTAACAGAGCTGAACATTCCTTTAGATGGAGCAGTTTCCAAACCCACTTTCTGTAGAATCTGCAAGTGGATATTTGGACTTCTCGGAGGATTTCGTTGGAAACGGGATAAACTTCCCAGAACTACACGGAAGCACTGTGAGAAACTTCTTTGTGATGTTTGCATTCAACTCACAGAGTTGAACCTTGCTTTCATAGTTCAGCTTTCAAACACTCTTTTTGTAGAATCTGCAAGTGGATATTTGGACCACTTTGTGGCCTTCCTTCGAAACGGGTATATCTTCACATCAAACTTAGACAGAAGCATTCTCAGAATGTTTCCTGTGATGACTGCATTCAACTCACAGAGGTGAACAATCCTGCTGATGGAGCAGTTTTGAAACTCTCTTTCTTTGGATTCTGCAAGTGGATATGTGGACCTCTGTGAAGATTTCGTTGGAAACGGGTTCATCTTCACAGAAAAACTAAACAGGAGCATACTCAGAAACTGCTTTGTGATGTTTGTGTTCCACTTCAGGAATTGTACTTTCCTCTTGACAGAGCAGCTCTGAAACCCTCTTATTCTAGAATCTGCAAGTGGACATTTGGAGGCCTTTGAGGCCTGTGGTGGAAAAGGAAAATCTTCACATAAAAACTAGATGGAAGCATTCTCAGAAACTACTTTGTGATGATTGCATTCGACTCACAGAGTTGAACATTCCTATAGATAGAGCAGGTTGTAAACAATCTTTTTGTAGAATCTGCGATTGGAGATTTGGACTGCTTTGAGGCCTACTGTAGTAAAGGAAATTACTTCATCTAAAAACCAAACGGAAGCATTCACAGACAATACTTAGTGATCATTGGATTGAACTAACAGAGCTGAACATTCCTTTAGATGGCGCAGTTTCCAAACACACTTTCTGTAGAATCTGCAAGTGGATATTTGGACTTCTACTGAGGATTTCGTTGGAAACGGGATAAACTTCCCAGAACTACACGGAAGCATTCTGAGAAACTTCTTTGTGATGTTTGCATTCAACTCACAGAGTTGAACCTTGCTTTCATAGTTCAGCTTTCAAACACTCTTTTTGTAGAATCTGCAAGTGGATATTTGGACCACTTTGTGGCCTTCCTTCGAAACGGGTATATCTTCACATCAAACCTAGACAGAAGCATTCTCAGAATGTTTCCTGTGATGACTGCATTCAACTCACAGTGGTGAACAATCCTGCTGATGGAGCAGTTTTGAAACTCTCTTTCTTTGGATTCTGCAAGTGGATATGTGGACCTCTGTGAAGATTTCGTTGGAAACGGGTTCATCTTCACAGAAAAACTAAACAGAAGCATTCTCAGAAACTGCTTTGTGATGTTTGTGTTCCACTTCAAGAATTGAACTTTCCTCTTGACAGAGCAGCTCTGAAACCCTCTTTTTCTAGAATCTGCAAGTGGACATTTGGAGGGCTTTGAGGCCTGTGGTGGAAAAGGAAAATCTTCACATAAAAACTAGATGGAAGCATTCTCAGAAACTACTTTGTGATGATTGCATTCGACTCACAGAGTTGAACATTCCTATAGATAGAGCAGGTTGTAAACAATGTTTTTGTAGAATCTGCGATTGGAGATTTGGACTGCTTTGAGGCCTACTGTAGTAAAGGAAATAACTTCATCTAAAAACCAAACGGAAGCATTCACAGACAATTCTTAGTGATCATTGCATTGAACTAACAGAGCTGAACATTCCTTTAGATGGCGCAGTTTCCAAACACACTTTCTGTAGAATCTGCAAGTGGATATTTGGACTTCTCTGAGGATTTCGTTGGAAACGGGATAAACTTCCCAGAACTACACGGAAGCATTCTGAGAAACTTCTTTGTGATGTTTGCATTCAACTCACAGAGTTGAACCTTGCTTTCATAGTTCAGCTTTCAAACACTCTTTTTGTAGAATCTGCAAGTGGATATTTGGACCACTTTGTGGCCTTCCTTCGAAACGGGTATATCTTCACATCAAACCTAGACAGAAGCATTCTCAGAATGTTTCCTATGATGACTGCATTCAACTCACAGAGGTGAACAATCCTGCTGATGGAGCAGTTTTGAAACTCTCTTTCTTTGGATTCTGCAAGTGGATATCTGGACCTCTGTGAAGATTTCGTTGGAAACGTGTTAATCTTCACAGAAAAACTAAACAGAAACATTCTCAGAAACTGCTTTGTGATGTTTGTGTTCCACTTCAGGAATTGAACTTTCCTCTTGACAGAGCAGCTCTGAAATCCTCTTATTCTAGAATCTGCAAGTGGACATTTGGAGGGCTTTGAGGCCTGTGGTGGAAAAGGAAAATCTTCACATAAAAACTAGATGGAAGCATTCTCAGAAACTACTTTGTGATGATTGCATTCGACTCACAGAGTTGAACATTCCCATAGATAGAGCAGGTTGTAAACAATCTTTTTGTAGAATCTGCGATTGGAGATTTGGACTGCTTTGAGGCCTACTGTAGTAAAGGAAATAACTTCATCTAAAAACAAAACGGAAGCATTCACAGATAATTCTTAGTGATATTGGATTGAACTAACAGAGCTGAACATTCCTTTAGATGGAGCACTTTCCAAACACACTTTCTGTAGAATCTGCAAGTGGATATTTGGACCTCTCTGAGGATTTCGTTGGAAACGGGATAAACTTCCCAGAACTACACGGAAGCATTCTGAGAAACTTCTTTGTGATGTTTGCATTCAACTCACAGAGTTGAACCTTGCTTTCATAGTTCAGCTTTCAAACACTCTTTTTGTAGAATCTGCAAGTGGATATTTGGACCACTTTGTGGCCTTCCTTCGAAACGGGTATATCTTCACATCAAACCTAGACAGAAGCATTCTCAGAATGTTTCCTGTGATGACTGCATTCAACTCACAGAGGTGAACAATCCTGTTGATGGAGCAGTTTTGAAACTCTCTTTCTTTGGATTCTGCAAGTTGATATGTGGACCTCTGTGAAGATTTCGTTGGAAACGGGTTCATCTTCACAGAAAAACTAAACAGAAGCATTCTCAGAAACTGCTTTGTGATGTTTGTGTTCCACTTCAAGAATTGAACTTTCCTCTTGACAGAGCAGCTCTGAAACCCTCTTTTTCTAGAATCTGCAAGTGGACATTTGGAGGGCTTTGAGGCCTGTGGTGGAAAAGGAAAATCTTCACATAAAAACTAGATGGAAGCATTCTCAGAAACTACTTTGTGATGATTGCATTCGACTCACAGAGTTGAACATTCCTATAGATAGAGCAGGTTGTAAACAATGTTTTTGTAGAATCTGCGATTGGAGATTTGGACTGCTTTGAGGCCTACTGTAGTAAAGGAAATAACTTCATCTAAAAACCAAACGGAAGCATTCACAGACAATTCTTAGTGATCATTGGATTGAACTAACAGAGCTGAACATTCCTTTAGATGGAGCAGTTTCCAAACACACTTTCTGTAGAATCTGCAAGTGGATATTTGGACTTCTCTGAGGATTTCGTTGGAAACGGGATAAACTTCCCAGAACTACACGGAAGCATTCTGAGAAACTTCTTTGTGATGTTTGCATTCAACTCACAGAGTTGAACCTTGCTTTCATAGTTCAGCTTTCAAACACTCTTTTTGTAGAATCTGCAAGTGGATATTTGGACCACTTTGTGGCCTTCCTTCGAAACGGGTATATCTTCACATCAAACCTAGACAGAAGCATTCTCAGAATGTTTCCTGTGATGACTGCATTCAACTCACAGAGGTGAACAATCCTGCTGATGGAGCAGTTTTGAAACTCTCTTTCTTTGGATTCTGCAAGTGGATATGTGGACCTCTGTGAAGATTTCGTTGGAAACGGGTTCATCTTCACAGAAAAACTAAACAGAAGCATTCTCAGAAACTGCTTTGTGATGTTTGTGTTCCACTTCAGGAATTGAACTTTCCTCTTGACAGAGCAGCTCTGAAACCCTCTTATTCTAGAATCTGCAAGTGGACATTTGGAGGGCTTTGAGGCCTGTGGTGGAAAAGGAAAATCTTCACATAAAAACTAGATGGAAGCATTCTCAGAAACTACTTTGTGATGATTGCATTCGACTCACAGAGTTGAACATTCCTATAGATAGAGCAGGTTGTAAACAATCTTTTTGTAGAATCTGCGATTGGAGATTTGGACTGCTTTGAGGCCTACTGTAGTAAAGGAAATAACTTCATCTAAAAACCAAACGGAAGCATTCACAGACAATTCTTAGTGATCATTGGATTGAACTAACAGAGCTGAACATTCCTTTAGATGGAGCATTTTCCAAACACACTTTCTGTAGAATCTGCAAGTGGATATTTGGACTACTCTGAGGATTTCGTTGGAAAAGGGATAAACTTCCCAGAACTACACGGAAGCATTGTGAGAAACTTCTTTGTGATGTTTGCATTCAACTCACAGAGTTGAACCTTGCTTTCATAGTTCAGCTTTCAAACACTCTTTTTGTAGAATCTGCAAGTGGATATTTGGACCACTTTGTGGCCTTCCTTCGAAACGGGTATATCTTCACATCAAACCTAGACAGAAGCATTCTCAGAATGTTTCCTGTGATGACTGCATTCAACTCACAGAGGTGAACAATCCTGCTGATGGAGCAGTTTTGAAACTCTCTTTCTTTGGATTCTGCAAGTGGATATGTGGACCTCTGTGTAGATATCGTTGGAAACGGGTTCATCTTCACAGAAAAACTAAACAGGAGCATTCTCAGAAACTGCTTTGTGATGTTTGTGTTCCACTTCAAGAATTGAACTTTCCTCTTGACAGAGCAGCTCTGAATCCCTCTTTTTCTAGAATCTGCAAGTGGACATTTGGAGGGCTTTGAGGCCTGTGGTGGAAAAGGAAAATCTTCACATAAAAACTAGATGGAAGCATTCTCAGAAACTACTTTGTGATGATTGCATTCGACTCACAGAGTTGAACATTCCTATAGATAGAGCAGGTTGTAAACAATCTTTTTGTAGAATCTGCGATTGGAGATTTGGACTGCTTTGAGGCCTACTGTAGTAAAGGAAATAACTTCATCTAAAAACCAAACGGAAGCATTCACAGACAATTCTTAGTGATCATTGCATTGAACTAACAGAGCTGAACATTCCTTTAGATGGCGCAGTTTCCAAACACACTTTCTGTAGAATCTGCAAGTGGATATGTGGACCTCTCTGAGGATATCGTTGGAAACGGGATAAACTTCCCAGAACTACACGGAAGCATTCTGAGAAACTTCTTTGTGATGTTTGCATTCAACTCACAGAGTTGAACCTTGCTTTCATAGTTCAGCTTTCAAACACTCTTTTTGTAGAATCTGCAAGTGGATATTTGGACCACTTTGTGGCCTTCCTTCGAAACGGGTATATCTTCACATCAAACCTAGACAGAAGCATTCTCAGAATGTTTCCTGTGATGACTGCATTCAACTCACAGAGGTGAACAATCCTGCTGATGGAGCAGTTTTGAAACTCTCTTTCTTTGGATTCTGCAAGTGGATATGTGGACCTCTGTGAAGATTTCGTTGGAAACGGGTTCATCTTCACAGAAAAACTAAACAGAAACATTCTCAGAAACTGCTTTGTGATGTTTGTGTTCCACTTCAGGAATTGAACTTTCCTCTTGACAGAGCAGCTCTGAAATCCTCTTATTCTAGAATCTGCAAGTGGACATTTGGAGGGCTTTGAGGCCTGTGGTGGAAAAGGGAAATCTTCACATAAAAACTAGATGGAAGCATTCTCAGAAACTCCTTTGTGATGATTGCATTCGACTCACAGAGTTGAACATTCCTATAGATAGAGCAGGTTGTAAACAATCTTTTTGTAGAATCTGCGATTGGAGATTTGGACTGCTTTGAGGCCTACTGTAGTAAAGGAAATAACTTCATCTAAAAACCAAACGGAAGCATTCACAGACAATTCTTAGTGATCATTGGATTGAACTAACAGAGCTGAAAATTCCGTTAGATGGTGCAGTTTCCAAACACACTTTCTGTAGAATCTGCAAGTGGATATTTGGACCTCTCTGAGGATTTCGTTGGAAACGGGATAAGCTTCCCAGAACTACACGGAAGCATTGTGAGAAACTTCTTTGTGATGTTTGCATTCAACTCACAGAGTTGAACCTTGCTTTCATAGTTCAGCTTTCAAACACTCTTTTTGTAGAATCTGCAAGTGGATATTTGGACCACTTTGTGGCCTTCCTTCGAAACGGGTATATCTTCACATCAAACCTAGACAGAAGCATTCTCAGAATGTTTCCTGTGATGACTGCATTCAACTCACAGAGGTGAACAATCCTGCTGATGGAGCAGTTTTGAAACTCTCTTTCTTTGGATTCTGCAAGTGGATATGTGGACCTCTGTGAAGATTTCGTTGGAAACGGGTTCATCTTCACAGAAAAACTAAACAGGAGCATTCTCAGAAACTGCTTTGTGATGTTTGTGTTCCACTTCAAGAATTGAACTTTCCTCTTGACAGAGCAGCTCTGAAACCCTCTTTTTCTAGAATCTGCAAGTGGACATTTGGAGGGCTTTGAGGCCTGTGGTGGAAAAGGAAAATCTTCCCATAAAAACTAGATGGAAGCATTCTCAGAAACTACTTTGTGATGATTGCATTCGACTCACAGAGTTGAACATTCCTATAGATAGAGCAGGTTGTAAACAATCTTTTTGTAGAATCTGCGATTGGAGATTTGGACTGCTTTGAGGCCTACTGCAGTAAAGGAAAGAACTTCATCTAAAAACCAAACGGAAGCATTCACAGACAATTCTTAGTGATCATTGGATTGAACTAACAGAGCTGAACATTCCCTTAGATGGCGCAGTTTCCAAACACACTTTCTGTAGAATCTGCAAGTGGATATTTGGACCTCTCTGAGGATTTCGTAGGAAACGGGATAAACTTCCCAGAACTACACGGAAGCATTCTGAGAAACTTCTTTGTGATGTTTGCATTCAACTCACAGAGTTGAACCTTGCTTTCATAGTTCAGCTTTCAAACACTCTTTTTGTAGAATCTGCAAGTGGATATTTGGACCACTTTGTGGCCTTCCTTCGAAACGGGTATATCTTCACATCAAACCTAGACAGAAGCATTCTCAGAATGTTTCCTGTGATGACTGCATTCAACTCACAGAGGTGAACAATCCTGCTGATGGAGCAGTGTTGAAACTCTCTTTCTTTGGATTCTGCAAGTGGATATGTGGACCTCTGTGAAGATTTCGTTGGAAACGGGTTCATCTTCACAGAAAAACTAAACAGGAGCATTCTCAGAAACTGCTGTATGATGTTTGTGTTCGACTTCAGGAATTGAACTTTCCTCTTGACAGAGCAGCTCTGAAACCCTCTTTTTCTAGAATCTGCAAGTGGACATTTGGAGGGCTTTGAGGCCTGTGGTGGAAAAGGAAAATCTTCACATAAAAACTAGATGGAAGCATTCTCAGAAACTACTTTGTGATGATTGCATTCGACTCACAGAGTTGAACATTCCTATAGATAGAGCAGGTTGTAAACAATCTTTTTGTAGAATCTGCGATTGGAGATTTGGACTGCTTTGAGGCCTACTGTAGTAAAGGAAATAACTTCATCTAAAAACCAAACGGAAGCATTCACAGACAATTCTTAGTGATCACTGGATTGAACTAACAGAGCTGAACATTCCTTTAGATGGAGCAGTTTCCAAACACACTTTCTGTAGAATCTGCAAGTGGATATTTGGACTTCTCTGAGGATTTCGTTGGAAACGGGATAAACTTCCCAGAACTACACGGAAGCATTCTGAGAAACTTCTTTGTGATGTTTGCATTCAACTCACAGAGTTGAACCTTGCTTTCATAGTTCAGCTTTCAAACACTCTTTTTGTAGAATCTGCAAGTGGATATTTGGACCACTTTGTGGCCTTCCTTCGAAACGGGTATATCTTCACATCAAACCTAGACAGAAGCATTCTCAGAATGTTTCCTGTGATGACTGCATTCAACTCACAGAGGTGAACAATCCTGTTGATGGAGCAGTTTTGAAACTCTCTTTCTTTGGATTCTGCAAGTTGATATGTGGACCTCTGTGAAGATTTCGTTGGAAACGGGTTCATCTTCACAGAAAAACTAAACAGGAGCATTCTCAGAAACTGCTTTGTGATGTTTGTGTTCCACTTCAAGAATTGAACTTTCGTCTTGACAGAGCAGCTCTGAAACCCTCTTTTTCTAGAATCTGCAAGTGGACATTTGGAGGGCTTTGAGGCCTGTGGTGGAAAAGGAAAATCTTCACATAAAAACTAGATGGAAGCATTCTCAGAAACTACTTTGTGATGATTGCATTCGACTCACAGAGTTGAACATTCCTATAGATAGAGCAGGTTGTAAACAATCTTTTTGTAGAATCTGCGATTGGAGATTTGGACTGCTTTGAGGCCTACTGTAGTAAAGGAAATAACTTCATCTAAAAATCAAACGGAAGCATTCACAGACAATTCTTAGTGATCATTGCATTGAACTAACAGAGCTGAACATTGCTTTAGACGGCGCAGTTTCCAAACACACTTTCTGTAGAATCTGCAAGTGGATATTTGGACTTCTCTGAGGATTTCGTTGGAAACGGGATAAACTTCCCAGAACTACACGGAAGCATGCTGAGAAACTTCTTTGTGATGTTTGCATTCAACTCACAGAGTTGAACCTTGCTTTCATAGTTCAGCTTTCAAACACTCTTTTTGTAGAATCTGCAAGTGGATATTTGGACCACTTTGTGGCCTTCCTTCGAAACGGGTATATCTTCACATCAAACCTAGACAGAAGCATTCTCAGAATGTTTCCTGTGATGACTGCATTCAACTCACAGAGGTGAACAATCCTGTTGATGGAGCACTTTTGAAACTCTCTTTCTTTGGATTCTGCAAGTTGATATGTGGACCTCTGTGAAGATTTCGTTGGAAACGGGTTCATCTTCAGAGAAAAACTAAACAGAAGCATTCTCAGAAACTGCTTTGTGATTTTTGTGTTCCACTTCAGGAATTGAACTTTCCTCTTGACAGAGCAGCTCTGAAACCCTCTTATTCTAGAATCTGCAAGTGGACATTTGGAGGGCTTTGAGGCCAGTGGTGGAAAAGGAAAATCTTCACATAAAAACTAGATGGAAGCATTCTCAGAAACTACTTTGTGATGATTGCATTCGACTCACAGAGTTGAACATTCCTATAGATAGAGCAGGTTGTAAACAATCTTTTTGTAGAATCTGCGATTGGAGATTTGGACTGCTTTGAGGCCTACTGTAGTAAAGGAAATAACTTCATCTAAAAACCAAACGGAAGCATTCACAGACAATCCTTAGTGATCATTGCATTGAACTAACAGAGCTGAACATTCCTTTAGATGGCGCAGTTTCCAAACACACTTTCTGTAGAATCTGCAAGTGGATATTTGGACCTCTCTGAGGATTTCGTTGGAAACGGGATAAACTTCCCAGAACTACACGGAAGCATTCTGAGAAACTTCTTTGTGATGTTTGCATTCAACTCACAGAGTTGAACTTTGCTTTCATAGTTCAGCTTTCAAACACTCTTTTTGTAGAATCTGCAAGTGGATATTTGGACCACTTTGTGGCCTTCCTTCGAAACGGGTATATCTTCACATCAAACCTAGACAGAAGCATTCTCAGAATGTTTTCCTGTGATGACTGCATTCAACTCACAGAGGTGAACAATCCTGCTGATGGAGCAGTTTTGAAACTCTCTTTGTTTGGATTCTGCAAGTGGATATGTGGACCTCTGTGAAGATTTCGTTGGAAACGGGTTCATCTTCACAGAAAAACTAAACAGGAGCATTCTCAGAAACTGTTTTGTGATGTTTGTGTTCCACTTCAAGAATTGAACTTTCCTCTTGACAGAGCAGCTCTGAAACCCTCTTTTTCTAGAATCTGCAAGTGGACATTTGGAGGGCTTTGAGGCCTGTGGTGGAAAAGGAAAATCTTCACATAAAAACTAGATGGAAGCATTCTCAGAAACTACTTTGTGATGATTGCATTCGACTCACAGAGTTGAACATTCCTATAGATAGAGCAGGTTGTAAACAATCTTTTTGTAGAATCTGCGATTGGAGATTTGGACTGCTTTGAGGCCTACTGTAGTAAAGGAAATAACTTCATCTAAAAACCAAACGGAAGCATTCACAGACAATTCTTAGTGATCATTGGATTGAACTAACAGAGCTGAACATTCCTTTAGATGGAGCAGTTTCCAAACACACTTTCTGTAGAATCTGCAAGTGGATATTTGGACTTCTCTGAGGATTTCGTTGGAAACGGGATAAACTTCCCAGAACTACACGGAAGCATTCTGAGAAACTTCTTTGTGATGTTTGCATTCAACTCACAGAGTTGAACCTTGCTTTCATAGTTCAGCTTTCAAACACTCTTTTTGTAGAATCTGCAAGTGGATATTTGGACCACTTTGTGGCCTTCCTTCGAAACGGGTATATCTTCACATCAAACCTAGACAGAAGCATTCTCGGAATGTTTCCTGTGATGACTGCATTCAACTCACAGAGGTGAACAATCCTGCTGATGGAGCAGTTTTGAAACTCTCTTTCTTTGGATTCTGCAAGTGGATATGTGGACCTCTGTGAAGATTTCGTTGGAAACGGGTTCATCTTCACAGAAAAACTAAACAGGAGCATTCTCAGAAACTGCTTTGTGATGTTTGTGTTCCACTTCAGGAATTCAACTTTCCTCTTGACAGAGCAGCTCTGAAACCCTCTTATTCTAGAATCTGCAAGTGGACATTTGGAGGGCTTTGAGGCCTGTGGTGGAAAAGGAAAATCTTCACATAATAACTAGATGGAAGCATTCTCAGAAACTACTTTGTGATGATTGCATTCGACTCACAGAGTTGAACATTCCTATAGATAGAGCAGGTTGTAAACAATCTTTTTGTAGAATCTGCGATTGGAGATTTGGACTGCTTTGAGGTCTACTGTAGTAAAGGAAATAACTTCATCTAAAAACCAAACGGAAGCATTCACAGACAATTCTTAGTGATCATTGGATTGAACTAACAGAGCTGAACATTCCTTTAGATGGAGCAGTTTCCAAACACACTTTCTGTAGAATCTGCAAGTGGATATTTGGACCTCTCTGAGGATTTCGTTGGAAACGGGATAAACTTCCCAGAACTACACGGAAGCATTGTGAGAAAATTCTTTGTGATGTTTGCATTCAACTCACAGAGTTGAACCTTGCTTTCATAGTTCAGCTTTCAAACACTCTTTTTGTAGAATCTGCAAGTGGATATTTGGACCACTTTGTGGCCTTCCTTCGAAACGGGTATATCTTCACATCATCCTAGACAGAAGCATTCTCAGAATGTTTCCTGTGATGACTGCATTCAACTCACAGAGGTGAACAATCCTGCTGATGGAGCAGTTTTGAAACTCTCTTTCTTTGGATTCTGCAAGTGGATATGTGGACCTCTGTGAAGATTTCGTTGGAAACGGGTTCATCTTCACAGAAAAACTAAACAGAAGCATTCTCAGAAACTGCTTTGTGATGTTTGTGTTCCACTTCAGGAATTGTATTTTCCTCTTGACAGAGCAGCTCTGAAACCCTCTTATTCTAGAATCTGCAAGTGGACATTTGGAGGGCTTTGAGGCCTGTGGTGGAAAAGGAAAATCTTCACATAAAAACTAGATGGAAGCATTCTCAGAAACTACTTTGTGATGATTGCATTCGACTCATAGAGTTGAACATTCCTATAGATAGAGCAGGTTGTAAACAATCTTTTTGTAGAATCTGCGATTGGAGATTTGGACTGCTTTGAGGCCTACTGTAGTAAAGGAAATAACTTCATCTAAAAACCAAACGGAAGCATTCACAGACAATTCTTAGTGATCTATTGGATTGAACTAACAGAGCTGAACATTCCTTTAGATGGAGCAGTTTCCAAACACACTTTCTGTAGAATCTGCAAGTGGATATTTGGACTTCTCTGAGGATTTCGTTGGAAACGGGAAAAACTTCCCAGAACTACACGGAAGCATTGTGAGAAACTTCTTTGTGATGTTTGCATTCAACTCACAGAGTTGAACCTTGCTTTCATAGTTCAGCTTTCAAACACTCTTTTTGTAGAATCTGCAAGTGGATATTTGGACCACTTTGTGGCCTTCCTTCGAAACGGGTATATCTTCACATCAAACCTAGACAGAAGCATTCTCAGAATGTTTCCTGTGATGACTGCATTCAACTCACAGAGGTGAACAATCCTGCTGATGGAGCAGTTTTGAAACTCTCTTTCTTTGGATTCTGCAAGTGGATATGTGGACCTCTGTGAAGATTTCGTTGGAAACGGGTTCATCTTCACAGAAAAACTAAACAGGAGCATTCTCAGAAACTGCTTTGTGATGTTTGTGTTCCACTTCAAGAATTGAACTTTCCTCTTGACAGAGCAGCTCTGAAACCCTCTTTTTCTAGAATCTGCAAGTGGACATTTGGAGGGCTTTGAGGCCTGTGGTGGAAAAGGAAAATCTTCACATAAAAACTAGATGGAAGCATTCTCAGAAACTACTTTGTGATGATTGCATTCGACTCACAGAGTTGAACATTCCTATAGATAGAGCAGGTTGTAAACAATCTTTTTGTAGAATCTGCGATTGGAGATTTGGACTGCTTTGAGGCCTACTGTAGTAAAGGAAATAACTTCATCTAAAAACCAAACGGAAGCATTCACAGACAATTCTTAGTGATCATTGCATTGAACTAACAGAGCTGAACATTCCTTTAGATGGAGCAGTTTCCAAACACACTTTCTGTAGAATCTGCAAGTGGATATTTGGACCTCTCTGAGGATTTCGTTGGAAACGGGATAAACTTCCCAGAACTACACGGAAGCATTCTGAGAAACTTCTTTGTGATGTTTGCATTCAACTCACAGAGTTGAACCTTGCTTTCATAGTTCAGCTTTCAAACACTCTTTTTGTAGAATCTGCAAGTGGATATTTGGACCACTTTGTGGCCTTCCTTCGAAACGGGTATATCTTCACATCAAACCTAGACAGAAGCATTCTCAGAATGTTTCCTGTGATGACTGCATTCAACTCACAGAGGTGAACAATCCTGTTGATGGAGCAGTTTTGAATCTCTCTTTCTTTGGATTCTGCAAGTGGATATGTGGACCTCTGTGAAGATTTCGTTGGAAACGGGTTCATTTTCACAGAAAAACTAAACAGAAGCATTCTCAGAAACTGCTTTGTGATGTTTGTGTTCCACTTCAAGAATTGAACTTTCCTCTTGACAGAGCAGCTCTGAAACCCTCTTTTTCTAGAATCTGCAAGTGGACATTTGGAGGGCTTTGAGGCCTGTGGTGGAAAAGGAAAATCTTCCCATAAAAACTAGATGGAAGCATTCTCAGAAACTACTTTGTGATGATTGCATTCGACTCACAGAGTTGAACATTCCTATAGATAGAGCAGGTTGTAAACAATCTTTTTGTAGAATCTGCGATTCGAGATTTGGAATGCTTTGAGGCCTACTGCAGTAAAGGAAATAACTTCATCTAAAAACCAAACGGAAGCATTCACAGACAATTCTTAGTGATCATTGGATTGAACTAACAGAGCTGAACATTCCTTTTGATGGAGCAGTTTCCAAACACACTTTCTGTAGAATCTGCAAGTGGATATTTGGACTTCTCTGAGGATTTCGTTGGAAACGGGATAAACTTCCCAGAACTACACGGAAGCATTCTGAGAAACTTCTTTGTGATGTTTGCATTCAACTCACAGAGTTGAACCTTGCTTTCATAGTTCAGCTTTCAAACACTGTTTTTGTAGAATCTGCAAGTGGATATTTGGACCACTTTGTGGCCTTCCTTCGAAACGGGTATATCTTCACATCAAACCTAGAGAGAAGCATTCTCAGAATGTTTCCTGTGATGACTGCATTCAACTCACAGAGGTGAACAATCCTGTTGATGGAGCACTTTTGAAACTCTCTTTCTTTGGATTCTGCAAGTGGATATGTGGACCTCTGTGAAGATTTCGTTGGAAACGGGTTCATCTTCACAGAAAAACTAAACAGAAGCATTCTCAGAAACTGCTTTGTGATGTTTGTGTTCCACTTCAAGAATTGAACTTTCCTCTTGACAGAGCAGCTCTGAAACCCTCTTTTTCTAGAATCTGCAAGTGGACATTTGGAGGGCTTTGAGGCCTGTGGTGGAAAAGGAAAATCTTCACATAAAAACTAGATGGAAGCATTCTCAGAAACTACTTTGTGATGATTGCATTCGACTCACAGAGTTGAACATTCCTATAGATAGAGCAGGTTGTAAACAATCTTTTTGTAGAATCTGCGATTGGAGATTTGGACTGCTTTGAGGCCTACTGTAGTAAAGGAAATAACTTCATCTAAAAACCAAACGGAAGCATTCACAGACAATTCTTAGTGATCATTGCATTGAACTAACAGAGCTGAACATTCCTTTAGGTGGAGCAGTTTCGAAACACACTTTCTTTAGAATCTGCAAGTGGATATTTGGACTTCTCTGAGGATTTCGTTGGAAACGGGATAAACTTCCCAGAACTACACGGAAGCATTGTGAGAAACTTCTTTGTGATGTTTGCATTCAACTCACAGAGTTGAACCTTGCTTTCATAGTTCAGCTTTCAAACCCTCTTTTTGTAGAATCTGCAAGTGGATATTTGGACCACTTTGTGGCCTTCCTTCGAAACGGGTATATCTTCACATCAAACCTAGACAGAAGCATTCTCAGAATGTTTCCTGTGATGACTGCATTCAACTCACAGAGGTGAACAATCCTGCTGATGGAGCAGTTTTGAAACTCTCTTTCTTTGGATTCTGCAAGTGGATATGTGGACCTCTGTGAAGATTTCGTTGGAAACGGGTTCATCTTCACAGAAAAACTAAACAGGAGCATTCTCAGAAACTGCTTTGTGATGTTTGTGTTCCACTTCAAGAATTGAACTTTCCTCTTGACAGAGCAGCTCTGAAACCCTCTTTTTCTAGAATCTGCAAGTGGACATTTGGAGGGCTTTGAGGCCTGTGGTGGAAAAGGAAAATGTTCACATAAAAACTAGATGGAAGCATTCTCAGAAACTACTTTGTGATGATTGCATTCGACTCACAGAGTTGAACATTCCTATAGATAGAGCAGGTTGTAAACAATCTTTTTGTAGAATCTGCGATTGGAGATTTGGACTGCTTTGAGGCCTACTGTAGTAAAGGAAATAACTTCATCTAAAAACCAAACGGAAGCATTCACAGACAATTCTTAGTGATCATTGCATTGAACTAACAGAGCTGAACATTGCTTTAGATGGCGCAGTTTCCAAACACACTTTCTGTAGAATCTGCAAGTGGATATTTGGACCTCTCTGAGGATTTCGTTGGAAACGGGATAAACTTCCCAGAACTACACGGAAGCATTGTGAGAAACTTCTTTGTGATGTTTGCATTCAACTCACAGAGTTGAACCTTGCTTTCATAGTTCAGCTTTCAAACACTCTTTTTGTAGAATCTGCAAGTGGATATTTGGACCACTTTGTGGCCTTCCTTCGAAACGGGTATATCTTCACATCAAACCTAGACAGAAGCATTCTCAGAATGTTTCCTGTGATGACTGCATTCAACTCACAGAGGTGAACAATCCTGCTGATGGAGCAGTTTTGAAACTCTCTTTCTTTGGATTCTGCAAGTGGATATGTGGACCTCTGTGAAGATTTCGTTGGAAACGGGTTCATCTTCACAGAAAAACTAAACAGAAGCATTCTCAGAAACTGCTTTGTGATGTTTGTGTTCCACTTCAGGAATTGAACTTTCCTCTTGACAGAGCAGCTCTGAAACCCTCTTATTCTAGAATCTGCAAGTGGACATTTGGAGGGCTTTGAGGCCTGTGGTGGAAAAGGAAAATCTTCACATAAAAACTAGATGGAAGCATTCTCAGAAACTACTTTGTGATGATTGCATTCGACTCACAGAGTTGAACATTCCTATAGATAGAGCAGGTTGTAAACAATCTTTTTGTAGAATCTGCGATTGGAGATTTGGACTGCTTTGAGGCCTACTGTAGTAAAGGAAATAACTTCATCTAAAAACCAAACGGAAGCATTCACAGACAATTCTTAGTGATCATTGGATTGAACTAACAGAGCTGAACATTCCTTTAGATGGAGCAGTTTCCAAACACACTTTCTGTAGAATCTGCAAGTGGATATTTGGACTTCTCTGAGGATTTCGTTGGAAACGGGATAAAATTCCCAGAACTACACGGAAGCATTCTGAGAAACTTCTTTGTGATGTTTGCATTCAACTCACAGAGTTGAACCTTGCTTTCATAGTTCAGCTTTCAAACACTCTTTTTGTAGAATCTGCAAGTGGATATTTGGACCACTTTGTGGCCTTCCTTCGAAACGGGTATATCTTCACATCAAACCTAGACAGAAGCATTCTCAGAATGTTTCCTGTGATGACTGCATTCAACTCACAGAGGTGAACAATCCTTCTGATGGAGCAGTTTTGAAACTCTCTTTCTTTGGATTCTGCAAGTGGATATGTGGACCTCTGTGAAGATTTCGTTGGAAACGGGTTCATCTTCACAGAAAAACTAAACAGGAGCATTCCCAGAAACTGCTTTGTGATGTTTGTGTTCCACTTCAAGAATTGAACTTTCCTCTTGACAGAGCAGCTCTGAAACCCTCTTTTTCTAGAATCTGCAAGTGGACATTTGGAGGGCTTTGAGGCCTCTGGTGGAAAAGGAAAATCTTCACATAAAAACTAGATGGAAGCATTCTCAGAAACTACTTTGTGATGATTGCATTCGACTCACATAGTTGAACATTCCTATAGATAGAGCAGGTTGTAAACAATCTTTTTGTAGAATCTGCGATTGGAGATTTGGACTGCTTTGAGGCCTACTGTAGTAAAGGAAATAACTTCATCTAAAAACCAAACGGAAGCATTCACAGACAATTCTTAGTGATCATTGGATTGAACTAACAGAGCTGAACATTCCTTTAGATGGAGCAGTTTCCAAACCCACTTTCTGTAGAATCTGCAAGTGGATATTTGGACTTCTCTGAGGATTTCGTTGGAAACGGGATAAACTTCCCAGAACTACACGGAAGCATTGTGAGAAACTTCTTTGTGATGTTTGCATTCAACTCACAGAGTTGAACCTTGCTTTCATAGTTCAGCTTTCAAACACTCTTTTTGTAGAATCTGCAAGTGGATATTTGGACCACTTTGTGGCCTTCCTTCGAAACGGGTATATCTTCACATCAAACCTAGACAGAAGCATTCTCAGAATGTTTCCTGTGATGACTGCATTCAACTCACAGAGGTGAACAATCCTGCTGATGGAGCAGTTTTGAAACTCTCTTTCTTTGGATTCTGCAAGTGGATATGTGGACCTCTGTGAAGATTTCGTTGGAAACGGGTTCATCTTCACAGAAAAACTAAACAGAAGCATTGTCAGAAACTGCTTTGTTATGTTTGTGTTCCACTTCAGGAATTGAACTTTCCTCTTGACAGAGCAGCTCTGAAACCCTCTTATTCTAGAATCTGCAAGTGGACATTTGGAGGGCTTTGAGGCCTGTGGTGGAAAACGAAAATCTTCACATAAAAACTAGATGGAAGCATTCTCAGAAACTACTTTGTGATGATTGCATTCGACTCACAGAGTTGAACATTCCTATAGATAGAGCAGGTTGTAAACAATCTTTTTGTAGAATCTGCGATTGGAAATTTGGACTGCTTTGAGGCCTACTGTAGTAAAGGAAATAACTTCATCTAAAAACCAAACGGAAGCATTCACAGACAATTCTTAGTGATCATTGCATTGAACTAACAGAGCTGAACATTCCTTTAGATGGCGCAGTTTCCAAACACACTTTCTGTAGAATCTGCAAGTGGATATTTGGACCTCTCTGAGGATTTCGTTGGAAACGGGATAAACTTCCCAGAACTACACGGAAGCATTGTGAGAAACTTCTTTGTGATGTTTGCATTCAACTCACAGAGTTGAACCTTGCTTTCATAGTTCAGCTTTCAAACACTCTTTTTGTAGAATCTGCAAGTGGATATTTGGACCACTTTGTGGCCTTCCTTCGAAACGGGTATATCTTCACATCAAACCTAGACAGAAGCATTCTCAGAGTGTTTCCTGTGATGACTGCATTCAACTCACAGAGGTGAACAATCCTGTTGATGGAGCAGTTTTGAAACTCTCTTTCTTTGGATTCTGCAAGTTGATATGTGGACCTCTGTGAAGATTTCGTTGGAAACGGGTTCATCTTCACAGAAAAACTAAACAGAAGCATTCTCAGAAACTACTTTGTGATGTTTGTGTTCAACTTGCAGAGTTGAACTTTCCTCTTGACAGAGCAGCTATGAAACATTGATTTTCTTGAATCTGCAAGGGGACATTTGGAGGGCTTTGGGGCCTGTGGCGGAAACGTAAATATCTGCATATAAAAACTAGATAGAAGCATTCTCAGAAACTACTTTGTGATGATTGCATTCGACTCACAGAGTTGAACATTCCTATAGATGGAGTAGGTTGTAAACAATCTTTTTGTAGAATCTGCGATTGGAGATTTGGACTGCTTTGAGGTCTACTGTAGTAAAGGAAATAACTTCATCTAAAAAACAAACGGAAGCATTCACAGACAATTCTTAGTGATCATTGGATTGAACTAACAGAGCTGAACATTCCTTTAGATGGAGCAGTTTCCAAACCCACTTTCTGTAGAATCTGCAAGTGGATATTTGGACTTCTCTGAGGATTTCGTTGGAAACGGGATAAACTTCCCAGAACTACAGGGAAGCATTGTGAGAAACTTCTTTGTGATGTTTGCATTCAACTCACAGAGTTGAACCTTGCTTTCATAGTTCAGCTTTCAAACACTCTTTTTGTAGAATCTGCAAGTGGATATTTGGACCACTTTGTGGCCTTCCTTCGAAACGGGTATATCTTCACATCAAACCTAGACAGAAGCATTCTCAGAATGTTTTCCTGTGATGACTGCATTCAACTCACAGAGGTGAACAATCCTGTTGATGGAGCAGTTTTGAAACTCTCTTTCTTTGGATTCTGCAAGTTGATATGTGGACCTCTGTGAAGATTTCGTTGGAAACGGTTTCATGTTCACAGAAAAACTAAACAGAAACATTCTCAGAAACTGCTTTGTGATGTTTGTGTTCCACTTCAAGAATTGAACTTTCCTCTTGACAGAGCAGCTCTGAAACCCTCTTTTTCTAGAATCTGCAAGTGGACATTTGGAGGGCTTTGAGGCCTGTGGTGGAAAAGGAAAATCTTCACATAAAAACTAGATGGAAGCATTCTCAGAAACTACTTTGTGATGATTGCATTCGACTCACAGAGTTGAACATTCCTATAGATAGAGCAGGTTGAAAACAATCTTTTTGTAGAATCTGCGATTGGAGATTTGGACTGCTTTGAGGCCTACTGTAGTAAAGGAAATAACTTCATCTAAAAACCAAACGGAAGCATTCACAGACAATTCTTAGTGATCATTGGATTGAACTAACAGAGCTGAACATTGCTTTAGATGGCGCAGTTTCCAAACACACTTTCTGTAGAATCTGCAAGTGGATATTTGGACCTCTCTGAGGATTTCGTTGGAAACGGGATAAACTTCCCAGAAATACACGGAAGCATTGTGAGAAACTTCTTTGTGATGTTTGCATTCAACTCACAGAGTTGAACCTTGCTTTCATACTTCAGCTTTCAAACACTCTTTTTGTAGAATCTGCAAGTGGATATTTGGACCACTTTGTGGCCTTCCTTCGAAACGGGTATATCTTCACATCAAACCTAGACAGAAGCATTCTCAGAATGTTTCCTGTGATGACTGCATTCAACTCACAGAGGTGAACAATCCTGCTGATGGAGCAGTTTTGAAACTCTCTTTCTTTGGATTCTGCAAGTGGATATGTGGACCTCTGTGAAGATTTCGTTGGAAACGGGTTCATCTTCATAGAAAAACTAAACAGGAGGATTCTCAGAAAATGCTTTGTGATGTTTGTGTTCCACTTCAAGAATTGAACTTACCTCTTGACAGAGCAGCTCTGAAACCCTGTTTTTCTAGAATCTGCAAGTGGACATTTGGAGGGCTTTGAGGCCTGTGGTGGAAAAGGAAAATCTTCACATAAAAACTAGATGGAAGCATTCTCAGAAACTTCTTTGTGATGATTGCATTCGACTCACAGAGTTGAACATTCCTATAGATAGAGCAGGTTGTAAACAATCTTTTTGTAGAATCTGCGATGGGAGATTTGGACTGCTTTGAGGCCTACTGTAGTAAAGGAAATTACTTCATCTAACAACCAAACGGAAGCATTCACAGACAATTCTTAGTGATCATTGGATTGAACTAACAGAGCTGAACATTCCTTTAGATGGAGCAGTTTCCAAACACACTTTCTGTAGAATCTGCAAGTGGATATTTGGACTTCTCTGAGGATTTCGTTGGAAACGGGATAAACTTCCCAGAACTACACGAAAGCATTGTGAGAAACTTCTTTGTGATGTTTGCATTCAACTCACAGAGTTGAACCTTGCTTTCATAGTTCAGCTTTCAAACACTCTTTTTGTAGAATCTGCAAGTGGATATTTGGACCACTTTGTGGCCTTCCTTCGAAACGGGTATATCTTCACATCAAACCTAGACAGAAGCATTCTCAGAATGTTTCCTGTGATGACTGCATTCAACTCACAGAGGTGAACAATCCTGCTGATGGAGCAGTTTTGAAACTCTCTTTCTTTGGATTCTGCAAGTGGATATGTGGACCTCTGTGAAGATTTCGTTGGAAACGGGTTCATCTTCACAGAAAAACTAAACAGAAGCATTCTCAGAAACTACTTTGTGATGTTTGTGTTCCACTTCAAGAATTGAACTTTCCTCTTGACAGAGCAGCTCTGAAACCCTCTTTTTCTAGAATCTGCAAGTGGACATTTGGAGGGCTTTGAGGCCTGTGGTGGAAAAGGAAAATCTTCACATAAAAACTAGATGGAAGCATTCTCAGAAACTACTTTGTGATGATTGCATTCGACTCACAGAGTTGAACATTCCTATAGATAGAGCAGGTTGAAAACAATCTTTTTGTAGAATCTGCGATTGGAGATTTGGACTGCTTTGAGGCCTACTGTAGTAAAGGAAATAACTTCATCTAAAAACCAAACGGAAGCATTCACAGACAATTCTTAGTGATCATTGGATTGAACTAACAGAGCTGAACATTCCTTTAGATGGAGCAGTTTCCAAACACACTTTCTGTAGAATCTGCAAGTGGATATTTGGACTTCTCTGAGGATTTCGTTGGAAACGGGATAAACTTCCCAGAACTACACGGAAGCATTGTGAGAAACTTCTTTGTGATGTTTGCATTCAACTCACAGAGTTGAACCTTGGTTTCATAGTTCAGCTTTCAAACACTCTT
Organism: Homo sapiens; assembly: GCF_000001405.40. NCBI lineage: Eukaryota > Metazoa > Chordata > Mammalia > Primates > Hominidae > Homo > Homo sapiens. The sequence continues at coordinate 52,052,659 of NC_000011.10, forward strand.
TTTGTAGAATCTGCAAGTGGATATTTGGACCACTTTGTGGCCTTCCTTCGAAACGGGTATATCTTCACATCAAACCTAGACAGAAGCATTCTCAGAATGTTTCATGTGATGACTGCATTCAACTCACAGAGGTGAACAATCCTGTTGATGGAGCAGTTTTGAATCTCTCTTTCTTTGGATTCTGCAAGTGGATATGTGGACCTCTGTGAAGATTTCGTTGGAAACGGGTTCATCTTCACAGAAAAACTAAACAGAAGCATTCTCAGAAACTGCTTTGTGATGTTTGTGTTCCACTTCAAGAATTGAACTTTCCTCTTGACAGAGCAGCTCTGAAACCCTCTTTTTCTAGAATCTGCAAGTGGACATTTGGAGGGCTTTGAGGCCTGTGGTGGAAAAGGAAAATCTTCACATAAAAACTAGATGAAAGCATTCTCAGAAACTACTTTGTGATGATTGCATTCGACTCACAGAGTTGAACATTCCTATAGATAGAGCAGGTTGTAAACAATCTTTTTGCAGAATCTTTGATTGGAGATTTGGACTGCTTTGAGGCCTACTGTAGTAAAGGAAATAACTTCATCTAAAAACCAAACGGAAGCATTCACAGACAATTCTTAGTGATCATTGGATTGAACTAAGAGAGCTGAACATTCCCTTAGATGGCACAGTTTCCAAACACACTTTCTGTAGAATCTGCAAGTGGATATTTGGACTTCTCTGAGGATTCCGTTGGAAACGGGATAAACTTCCCAGAACTACACGGAAGCATTCTGAGAAACTTCTTTGTGATGTTTGCATTCAACTCACAGAGTTGAACCTTGCTTTCATAGTTCAGCTTTCAAACACTCTTTTTGTAGAATCTGCAAGTGGATATTTGGACCACCTTGTGGCCTTCCTTCGAAACGGGTATATCTTCACATCAAACCTAGACAGAAGCATTCTCAGAATGTTTCCTGTGATGACTGCATTCAACTCACAGAGGTGAACAATCCTGCTGATGGTGCAGTTTTGAAACTCTCTTTCTTTGGATTCTGCAAGTGGATATGTGGACCTCTGTGAAGATTTCGTTGGAAACGGGTTCATCTTCACAGAAAAACTAAACAGGAGCATTCTCAGAAACTACTTTGTGATGTTTGTGTTCCACTTCAAGAATTGAACTTTCCTCTTGACAGAGCAGCTCTGAAACCCTCTTTTTCTAGAATCTGCAAGTGGACATTTGGAGGGCTTTGAGGCCTGTGGTGGAAAAGGAAAATCTTCACATAAAAACTAGATGGAAGCATTCTCAGAAACTACTTTGTGATGATTGCATTCGACTCACAGAGTTGAACATTCCTATAGATAGAGCAGGTTGTAAACAATCTTTTTGTAGAATCTGCGATTGGAGATTTGGACTGCTTTGAGGCCTACTGTAGTAAAGGAAATAACTTCATCTAAAAACCAAACGGAAGCATTCACAGACAATTCTTAGTGATCATTGGATTGAACTAACAGAGCTGAACATTCCTTTAGATGGAGCAGTTTCCAAACACACTTTCTGTAGAATCTGCAAGTGGATATTTGGACTTCTCTGAGGATTTCGTTGGAAACGGGATAAAATTCCCAGAACTACACGGAAGCATGCTGAGAAACTTCTTTGTGATGTTTGCATTCAACTCACAGAGTTGAACCTTGCTTTCATAGTTCAGCTTTCAAACACTCTTTTTGTAGAATCTGCAAGTGGATATTTGGACCACTTTGTGGCCTTCCTTCGAAACGGGTATATCTTCACATCAAACCTAGACAGAAGCATTCTCAGAATGTTTCCTGTGATGACTGCATTCAACTCACAGAGGTGAACAATCCTGTTGATGAAGCAGTTTTGAAACTCTCTTTCTTTGGATTCTGCAAGTTGATATGTGGACCTCTGTGAAGATTTCGTTGGAAACGGGTTCATCTTCACAGAAAAACTAAACAGAAGCATTCTCAGAAACTGCTTTGTGATGTTTGTGTTCCACTTCAAGAATTGAACTTTCCTCTTGACAGAGCAGCTCTGAAACCCTCTTTTTCTAGAATCTGCAAGTGGACATTTGGAGGGCTTTGAGGCCTGTGGTGGAAAAGGAAAATCTTCACATAAAAACTAGATGGAAGCATTCTCAGAAACTACTTTGTGATGATTGCATTCGACTCACAGAGTTGAACATTCCTATAGATACAGCAGGTTGTAAACAATCTTTTTGTAGAATCTGCGATTGGAGATTTGGACTGCTTTGAGGCCTACTGTAGTAAAGGAAATAACTTCATCTAAAAACCAAACGGAAGCATTCACAGACAATTCTTAGTGATCATTGCATTGAACTAACAGAGCTGAACATTCCTTTAGATGGAGCAGTTTCCAAACCCACTTTCTGTAGAATCTGCAAGTGGATATTTGGACTTCTCCGAGGATTTCGTTGGAAACGGGATAAACTTCCCAGAACTACACGGAAGCATTCTGAGAAACTTCTTTGTGATGTTTGCATTCAACTCACAGAGTTGAACCTTGCTTTCATAGTTCAGCTTTCAAACACTCTTTTTGTAGAATCTGCAAGTGGATATTTGGACCACTTTGTGGCCTTCCTTCGAAACGGGTATATCTTCACATCAAACCTAGACAGAAGCATTCTCAGAATGTTTCCTGTGATGACTGCATTCAACTCACAGAGGTGAACAATCCTGCTGATGGAGCAGTTTTGAAACTCCCTTTCTTTGGATTCTGCAAGTGGATATGTGGACCTCTGTGAAGATTTCGTTGGAAACGGGTTCATCTTCACAGAAAAACTAAACAGAAGCATTCTCAGAAACTGTTTTGTGATGTTTGTGTTCCACTTCAGGAATTGAACTTTCCTCTTGACAGAGCAGCTCTGAAACCCTCTTATTCTAGAATCTGCAAGTGGACATTTGGAGGGCTTTGAGGCCTGTGGTGGAAAAGGAAAATCTTCACATAAAAACTAGATGGAAGCATTCTCAGAAACTACTTTGTGATGATTGCATTCGACTCACAGAGTTGAACATTCCTATAGATAGAGCAGGTTGTAAACAATCTTTTTGTAGAATCTGCGATTGGAGATTTGGACTGCTTTGAGGCCTACTGTAGTAAAGGAAATAACTTCATCTAAAAACCAAACGGAAGCATTCACAGACAATTCTTAGTGATCATGGCATTGAACTAACAGAGCTGAACATTCCTTTAGATGGAGCAGTTTCCAAACACACTTTCTGTAGAATCTGCAAGTGGATATTTGGACCTCTCTGAGGATTTCGTTGGAAACGGGATAAACTTCCCAGAACTACACGGAAGCATTGTGAGAAACTTCTTTGTGATGTTTGCATTCAACTCACAGAGTTGAACCTTGCTTTCATAGTTCAGCTTTCAAACACTCTTTTTGTAGAATCTGCAAGTGGATATTTGGACCACTTTGTGGCCTTCCTTCGAAACGGGTATATCTTCACATCAAACCTAGACAGAAGCATTCTCAGAATGTTTCCTGTGATGACTGCATTCAACTCACAGAGGTGAACAATCCTGCTGATGGAGCAGTTTTGAAACTCTCTTTCTTTGGATTCTGCAAGTGGATATGTGTACCTCTGTGAAGATTTCGTTGGAAACGTGTTCATCTTCACAGAAAAACTAAACAGGAGCATTCTCAGAAACTGCTTTGTGATGTTTGTGTTCCACTTCAAGAATTGAACTTTCCTCTTGACAGAGCAGCTCTGAAACCCTCTTTTTCTAGAATCTGCAAGTGGACATTTGGAGGGCTTTGAGGCCTGTGGTGGAAAAGGAAAATCTTCCCATAAAAACTAGATGGAAGCATTCTCAGAAACTACTTTGTGATGATTGCATTCGACTCACAGAGTTGAACATTCCTATAGATAGAGCAGGTTGTAAACAATGTTTTTGTAGAATCTGCGATTGGAGATTTGGACTGCTTTGAGGCCTACTGTAGTAAAGGAAATAACGTCATCTAAAAACCAAACGGAAGCATTCACAGACAATTCTTAGTGATCATTGGATTGAACTAACAGAGCTGAACATTCCTTTAGATGGAGCAGTTTCCAAACACACTTTCTGCAGAATCTGCAAGTGGATATTTGGACTTCTCTGAGGATTTCGTTGGAAACGGGATAAACTTCCCAGAACTACACGGAAGCATTGTGAGAAACTTCTTTGTGATGTTTGCATTCAACTCACAGAGTTGAACCTTGCTTTCATAGTTCAGCTTTCAAACACTCTTTTTGTAGAATCTGCAAGTGGATATTTGGACCACTTTGTGGCCTTCCTTCGAAACGGGTATATCTTCACATCAAACCTAGACAGAAGCATTCTCAGAATGTTTCCTGTGATGACTGCATTCAACTCACAGAGGTGAACAATCCTGCTGATGGAGCAGTTTTAAAACTCTCTTTCTTTGGATTCTGCAAGTGGATATGTGGACCTCTGTGAAGATTTCGTTGGAAACGGGTTCATCTTCATAGAAAAACTAAACAGGAGCATTCTCAGAAACTGCTTTGTGATGTTTGTGTTCCACTTCAGGAATTGAACTTTCCTCTTGAAAGAGCAGCTCTGAAACCCTCTTTTTCTAGAATCTGAAAGTGGACATTTGGAGGGCTTTGAGGCCTGTGGTGGAAAAGGAAAATCTTCACATAAAAACTAGATGGAAGCATTCTCAGAAACTACTTTGTGATGATTGCATTCGACTCACAGAGTTGAACATTCCTTTAGATAGAGCAGGTTGTAAACAATCTTTTTGTAGAATCTGCGATTGGAGATTTGGACTGCTTTGAGGCCTACTGTAGTAAAGGAAATAACTTCATCTAAAAACCAAACGGAAGCATTCACAGACAATTCTTAGTGATCATTGCATTGAACTAACAGAGCTGAACATTCCTTTAGATGGCGCAGTTTCCAGACACACTTTCTGTAGAATCTGCAAGTGGATATTTGGACTTCTCTGAGGATTTCGTTGGAAACGGGATAAAGTTCCCAGAACTACACGGAAGCATTCTGAGAAACTTCTTTGTGATGTTTGCATTCAACTCACAGAGTTCAACCTTGCTTTCATAGTTCAGCTTTCAAACACTCTTTTTGTAGAATCTGCAAGTGGATATTTGGACCACTTTGTGGCCTTCCTTCGAAACGGGTATATCTTCACATCAAACCTAGACAGAAGCATTCTCAGAATGTTTCCTGTGATGACTGCATTCAACTCACAGAGGTGAACAATCCTGCTGATGGAGCAGTTTTGAAACTCTCTTTCTTTGGATTCTGCAAGTGGATATGTGGACCTCTGTGAAGATTTCGTTGGAAACGGGTTCATCTTCACAGAAAAACTAAACAGAAGCATTCTCAGAAACTGCTTTGTGATGTTTGTGTTCCACTTCAGGAATTGAACTTTCCTCTTGACAGAGCAGCTCTGAAACCCTCTTTTTCTAGAATCTGCAAGTGGACATTTGGAGGGCTTTGAGGCCTGTGGTGGAAAAGGAATATCTTCACATAAAAACTAGATGGAAGCATTCTCAGAAACTACTTTGTGATGATTGCATTCGACTCACAGAGTTGAACATTCCTATAGATAGAGCAGGTTGTAAACAATCTTTTTGTAGAATCTGCGATTGGAGATTTGGACTGCTTTGAGGCCTACTGTAGTAAAGGAAATAACTTCATCTAAAAACCAAACGGAAGCATTCACAGACAATTCTTAGTGATCATTGCATTGAACTAACAGAGCTGAACATTCCTTTAGATGGAGCAGTTTCCAAACACACTTTCTGTAGAATCTGCAAGTGGATATTTGGACTTCTCTGAGGATTTCGTTGGAAACGGGATAAACTTCCCAGAACTACACGGAAGCATTCTGAGAAACTTCTTTGTGATGTTTGCATTCAACTCACAGAGTTGAACCTTGCTTTCATAGTTCAGCTTTCAAACACTCTTTTTGTAGAATCTGCAAGTGGATATTTGGACCACTTTGTGGCCTTCCTTCGAAACGGGTATATCTTCACATCAAACCTAGACAGAAGCATTCTCAGAATGTTTCCTGTGATGACTGCATTCAACTCACAGAGGTGAACAATCCTGCTGATGGAGCAGTTTTGAAACTCTCTTTCTTTGGATTCTGCAAGTGGATATGTGGACCTCTGTGAAGATTTCGTTGGAAACGGGTTCATCTTCACAGAAAAACTAAACAGAAGCATTCTCAGAAACTGCTTTGTTATGTTTGTGTTCCACTTCAAGAATTGAACTTTCCTCTTGACAGAGCAGCTCTGAAACCCTCTTATTCTAGAATCTGCAAGTGGACATTTGGAGGGCTTTGAGGCCTGTGGTGGAAAAGGAAAATCTTCACATAAAAACTAGATGGAAGCATTCTCAGAAACTACTTTGTGATGATTGCATTCGACTCACAGAGTTGAACATTCCTATAGATAGAGCAGGTTGTAAACAATCTTTTTGTAGAATCTGCGATTGGAAATTTGGACTGCTTTGAGGCCTACTGTAGTAAAGGAAATAACTTCATCTAAAAACCAAACGGAAGCATTCACAGACAATTCTTAGTGATCATTGCATTGAACTAACAGAGCTGAACATTCCTTTAGATGGCGCAGTTTCCAAACACACTTTCTGTAGAATCTGCAAGTGGATATTTGGACCTCTCTGAGGATTTCGTTGGAAACGGGATAAACTTCCCAGAACTACACGGAAGCATTCTGAGAAACTTCTTTGTGATGTTTGCATTCAACTCACAGAGTTGAACCTTGCTTTCATAGTTCAGCTTTCAAACACTCTTTTTGTAGAATCTGCAAGTGGATATTTGGACCACTTTGTGGCCTTCCTTCGAAACGGGTATATCTTCACATCAAACCTAGACAGAAGCATTCTCAGAATGTTTCCTGTGATGACTGCATTCAACTCACAGAGGTGAACAATCCTGCTGATGGAGCAGTTTTGAAACTCTCTTTCTTTGGATTCTGCAAGTGGATATGTGGACCTCTGTGAAGATTTCGTTGGAAACGGGTTCATCTTCACAGAAAAACTGAACAGAAGCATTCTCAGAAACTGCTTTGTGATGTTTGTGTTCCACTTCAGGAATTGAACTTTCCTCTTGAAAGAGCAGCTCTGAAACCCTCTTTTTCTAGAATCTGCAAGTGGACATTTGGAGGGCTTTGAGGCCTGTGGTGGAAAAGGAAAATCTTCACATAAAAACTAGATGGAAGCATTCTCAGAAACTCCTTTGTGATGATTGCATTCGACTCACAGAGTTGAACATTCCTATAGATAGAGTAGGTTGTAAACAATCTTTTTGTAGAATCTGCGATTGGAGATTTGGACTGCTTTGAGGCCTACTGTAGTAAAGGAAATAACTTCATCTAAAAACCCAACGGAAGCATTCACAGACAATTCTTAGTGATCATTGGATTGAACTAACAGAGCTGAACATTCCTTTAGATGGAGCAGTTTCCAAACACAATTTCTGTAGAATCTGCAAGTGGATATTTGGACTTCTCTGAGGATTTCGTTGGAAACGGGATAAACTTCCCAGAACTACACGGAAGCATTGTGAGAAACTTCTCTGTGATGTTTGCATTCAACTCACAGAGTTGAACCTTGCTTTCATAGTTCAGCTTTCAAACACTCTTTTTGTAGAATCTGCAAGTGGATATTTGGACCACTTTGTGGCCTTCCTTCGAAACGGGTATATCTTCACATCAAACCTAGACAGAAGCATTCTCAGAATGTTTCCTGTGATGACTGCATTCAACTCACAGAGGTGAACAATCCTGTTGATGGAGCACTTTTGAAACTCTCTTTCTTTGGATTCTGCAAGTTGATATGTGGAACTCTGTGAAGATTTCGTTGGAAACGGGTTCATCTTCACAGAAAAACTAAACAGGAGCATTCTCAGAAACTGCTTTGTGATGTTTGTGTTCCACTTCAAGAATTGAACTTTCCTCTTGACAGAGCAGCTCTGAAACCCTCTTTTTCTAGAATCTGCAAGTGGACATTTGGAGGGCTTTGAGGCCTGTGGTGGAAAAGGAAAATCTTCACATAAAAACTAGATGGAAGCATTCTCAGAAACTACTTTGTGATGATTGCATTCGACTCACAGAGTTGAACATTCCTATAGATAGAGCAGGTTGTAAACAATCTTTTTGTAGAATCTGCGATTGGAGATTTGGACTGCTTTGAGGCCTACTGTAGTAAAGGAAATAACTTCATCTAAAAACCAAACGGAAGCATTCACAGACAATTCTTAGTGATCATTGGATTGAACTAACAGAGCTGAACATTCCTTTAGGTGGAGCAGTTTCCAAACACACTTTCTGTAGAATCTGCAAGTGGATATTTGGACTTCTCTGAGGATTTCGTTGGAAACGGGATAAACTTCCCAGAACTACACGGAAGCATTGTGAGAAACTTCTTTGTGATGTTTGCATTCAACTCACAGAGTTGAACCTTGCTTTCATAGTTCAGCTTTCAAACACTCTTTTTGTAGAATCTGCAAGTGGATATTTGGACCACTTTGTGGCCTTCCTTCGAAACGGGTATATCTTCACATCAAACCTAGACAGAAGCATTCTCAGAATGTTTCCTGTGATGACTGCATTCAACTCACAGAGGTGAACAATCCTGTTGATGGAGCAGTTTTGAAACTCTCTTTCTTTGGATTCTGCAAGTTGATATGTGGACCTCTGTGAAGATTTCGTTGGAAACGGGTTCATCTTCACAGAAAAACTAAACAGAAGCATTCTCAGAAACTGCTTTGTGATGTTTGTGTTCCACTTCAAGAATTGAACTTTCCTCTTGACAGAGCAGCTCTGAAACCCTCTTTTTCTAGAATCTGCAAGTGGACATTTGGAGGGCTTTGAGGCCTGTGGTGGAAAAGGAAAATCTTCACATAAAAACTAGATGGAAGCATTCTCAGAAACTACTTTGTGATGATTGCATTCGACTCACAGAGTTGAACATTCCTATAGGTAGAGCAGGTTGTAAACAATCTTTTTGTAGAATCTGCGATTGGAGATTTGGACTGCTTTGAGGCCTACTGTAGTAAAGGAAATAACTTCATCTAAAAACCAAACGGAAGCATTCACAGACAATTCTTAGTGATCATTGCATTGAACTAACAGAGCTGAACATTCCTTTAGATGGCGCAGTTTCCAAACACACTTTCTGTAGAATCTGCAAGTGGATATTTGGACCTCTCTGAGGATTTCGTTGGAAACGGGATAAACTTCCCAGATCTACACGGAAGCATTCTGAGAAACTTCTTTGTGATGTTTGCATTCAACTCACAGAGTTGAACCTTGGTTTCATAGTTCAGCTTTCAAACACTCTTTTTGTAGAATCTGCAAGTGGATATTTGGACCACTTTGTGGCCTTCCTTCGAAACGGGTATATCTTCACATCAAACCTAGACAGAAGCATTCTCAGAATGTTTCCTGTGATGACTGCATTCAACTCACAGAGGTGAACAATCCTGCTGATGGAGCAGTTTTGAAACTCTCTTTCTTTGGATTCTGCAAGTGGATATGTGGACCTCTGTGAAGATTTCGTTGGAAACGGGTTCATCTTCACAGAAAAACTAAACAGGAGCATTCTCAGAAACTGCTTTGTGATGTTTGTGTTCCACTTCAAGAATTGAACTTTCCTCTTGACAGAGCAGCTCTGAAACCCTCTTTTTCTAGAATCTGCAAGTGGACATTTGGAGGGCTTTGAGGCCTGTGGTGGAAAAGGAAAACCTTCACATAAAAACTAGATGGAAGCATTCTCAGAAACTACTTTGTGATGATTGCATTCGACTCACAGAGTTGAACATTCCTATAGATAGAGCAGGTTGTAAACAATCTTTCTGTAGAATCTGCGATTGGAGATTTGGACTGCTTTGAGGCCTACTGTAGTAAAGGAAATAACTTCATCTAAAAACCAAACGGAAGCATTCACAGACAATTCTTAGTGATCATTGCATTGAACAAACAGAGCTGAAAATTGCTTTAGATGGCGCAGTTTCCAAACCCACTTTCTGTAGAATCTGCAAGTGGATATTTGGACCTCTCTGAGGATTTCGTTGGAAACGGGATAAACTTCCCAGAACTACACGGAAGCATGCTGAGAAACTTCTTTGTGATGTTTGCATTCAACTCACAGAGTTGAACCTTGCTTTCATAGTGCAGCTTTCAAACACTCTTTTTGTAGAATCTGCAAGTGGATATTTGGACCACTTTGTGGCCTTCCTTCGAAACGGGTATATCTTCACATCAAACCTAGACAGAAGCATTCTCAGAATGTTTCCTGTGATGACTGCATTCAACTCACAGAGGTGAACAATCCTGTTGATGGAGCACTTTTGAAACTCTCTTTCTTTGGATTCTGCAAGTTGATATGTGGACCTCTGTGAAGATTTCGTTGGAAACGGGTTCATCTTCACAGAAAAACTAAACAGAAGCATTCTCAGAAACTGCTTTGTGATGTTTGTGTTCCACTTCAAGAATTGAACTTTCCTCTTGACAGAGCAGCTCTGAAACCCTCTTTTTCTAGAATCTGCAAGTAGACATTTGGAGGGCTTTGAGGCCTGTGGTGGAAAAGGAAAATCTTCACATAAAAACTAGATGGAAGCATTCTCAGAAACTACTTTGTGATGATTGCATTCGACTCACAGAGTTGAACATTCCTATAGATAGAGCAGGTTGTAAACAATCTTTTTGTAGAATCTGCGATTGGAGATTTGGACTGCTTTGAGGCCTACTGTAGTAAAGGAAATAACTTCATCTAAAAACCAAACGGAAGCATTCACAGACAATTCTTAGTGATCATTGGATTGAACTAACAGAGCTGAACATTCCTTTAGATGGAGCAGTTTCCAAACACACTTTCTGTAGAATCTGCAAGTGGATATTTGGACCTCTCTGAGGATTTCGTTGGAAACGGGATAAACTTCCCAGAACTACACGGAAGCATTCTGAGAAACTTCTTTGTGATGTTTGCATTCAACTCACAGGGTTGAACCTTGCTTTCATAGTTCAGCTTTCAAACACTCTTTTTGTAGAATCTGCAAGTGGATATTTGGACCACTTTGTGGCCTTCCTTCGAAACGGGTATATCTTCACATCAAACCTAGACAGAAGCATTCTCAGAATGTTTCCTGTGATGACTGCATTCAACTCACAGAGGTGAACAATCCTGCTGATGGAGCAGTTTTGAAACTCTCTTTCTTTGGATTCTGCAAGTGGATATGTGGACCTCTGTGAAGATTTCGTTGGAAACGGGTTCATCTTCACAGAAAAACTAAACAGAATCATTCTCAGAAACTGCTTTGTGATGTTTGTGTTCCACTTCAAGAATTGAACTTTCCTCTTGACAGAGCAGCTCTGAAACCCTCTTTTTCTAGAATCTGCAAGTGGACATTTGGAGGGCTTTGAGGCCTGTGGTGGAAAAGGAAAATCTTCACATAAAAACTAGGTGGAAGCATTCTCAGAAACTACTTTGTGATGATTGCATTCGACTCACAGAGTTGAACATTCCTATAGATAGAGCAGGTTGTAAACAATCTTTTTGTAGAATCTGCGATTCGAGATTTGGAATGCTTTGAGGCCTACTGCAGTAAAGGAAATAACTTCATCTAAAAACCAAACGGAAGCATTCACAGAAAATTCTTAGTGATCATTGGATTGAACTAACAGAGCTGAACATTCCTTTAGATGGCGCAGTTTCCAAACCCACTTTCTGTAGAATCTGCAAGTGGATATTTGGACTTCTCTGAGGATTTCGTTGGAAACGGGATAAACTTACCAAAACTACACGGAAAGCATTGTGAGAAACTTCTTTGTGATGTTTGCATTCAACTCACAGAGTTGAACCTTGCTTTCATAGTTCAGCTTTCAAACACTCTTTTTGTGGAATCTGCAAGTGGATATTTGGACCACTTTGTGGCCTTCCTTCGAAACGGGTATATCTTCACATCAAACCTAGACAGAAGCATTCTCAGAATGTTTCCTGTGATGACTGCATTCAACTCACAGAGGTGAACAATCCTGTTGATGGAGCACTTTTGAAACTCTCTTTCTTTGGATTCCGCAAGTTGATATGTGGACCTCTGTGAAGATTTCATTGGAAACGGGTTCATCTTCACAGAAAAACTAAACAGAAGCATTCTCAGAAACTACTTTGTGATGTTTGTGTTCCACTTCAAGAATTGAACTTTCCTGTTGACAGAGCAGCTCTGAAACCCTCTTTTTCTAGAATCTGCAAGTGGACATTTGGAGGGCTTTGAGGCCTGTGGTGGAAAAGGAAAATCTTCACATAAAAACTAGATGGAAGCATTCTCAGAAACTACTTTGTGATGATTGCATTCGACTCACAGAGTTGAACATTCCTATAGATAGAGCAGGTTGTAAACAATCTTTTTGTAGAATCTGCGATTGGAGATTTGGACTGCTTTGAGGCCTACTGTAGTAAAGGAAATAACTTCATCTAAAAACCAAACGGAAGCATTCACAGACAATTCTTAGTGATCATTGGATTGAACTAACAGAGCTGAACATTCCTTTAGATGGCGCAGTTTCCAAACACACTTTCTGTAGAATCTGCAAGTGGATATTTGGACCTCTCTGAGGATTTCGTTGGAAACGGGATAAACTTCCCAGAACTACACGGAAGCATTCTGAGAAACTTCTTTGTGATGTTTGCATTCAACTCACAGAGTTGAACCTTGCTTTCATAGTTCAGCTTTCAAACACTCTTTTTGTAGAATCTGCAAGTGGATATTTGGACCACTTTGTGGCCTTCCTTCGAAACGGGTATATCTTCACATCAAACCTAGACAGAAGCATTCTCAGAATGTTTCCTGTGATGACTGCATTCAACTCACAGAGGTGAACAATCCTGTTGATGGAGCAGTTTTGAAACTCTCTTTCTTTGGATTCTGCAAGTTGATATGTGGACCTCTGTGAAGATTTCGTTGGAAACGGGTTCATCTTCACAGAAAAACTAAACAGAAGCATTCTCAGAAACTGCTTTGTGATGTTTGTGTTCCACTTCAAGAATTGAACTTTCCTCTTGATAGAGCAGCTCTGAAACCCTCTTTTTCTAGAATCTGCAAGTGGACATTTGGAGGGCTTTGAGGCCTGTGGTGGAAAAGGAAAATCTTCCCATAAAAACTAGATGGAAGCATTCTCAGAAACTACTTTGTGATGATTGCATTCGACTCACAGAGTTGAACATTCCTATAGATAGAGCAGGTTGTAAACAATCTTTTTGTAGAATCTGCGATTGGAGATTTGGACTGCTTTGAGGCCTACTGTAGTAAAGGAAATAACTTCATCTAAAAACCAAACGGAAGCATTCACAGACAATTCTTAGTGATCATGGCATTGAACTAACAGAGCTGAACATTCCTTTAGATGGCGCAGTTTCCAAACACACTTTCTGTAGAATCTGCAAGTGGATATTTGGACCTCTCTGAGGATTTCGTTGGAAACGGGATAAACTTCCCAGAACTACACGGAAGCATTGTGAGAAACTTCTTTGTGATGTTTGCATTCAACTCACAGAGTTGAACCTTGCTTTCATAGTTCAGCTTTCAAACACTCTTTTTGTAGAATCTGCAAGTGGATATTTGGACCACTTTGTGGCCTTCCTTCGAAACGGGTATATCTTCACATCAAACCTAGACAGAAGCATTCTCAGAATGTTTCCTGTGATGACTGCATTCAACTCACAGAGGTGAACAATCCTGCTGTTGGAGCAGTTTTGAAACTCTCTATCTTTGGATTCTGCAAGTGGATATGTGGACCTCTGTGAAGATTTCGTTGGAAACGGGTTCATCTTCACAGAAAAACTAAACAGGAGCATTCTCAGAAACTGCTTTGTGATGTTTGTGTTCCACTTCAAGAATTGAACTTTCCTCTTGACAGAGCAGCTCTGAAACCCTCTTTTTCTAGAATCTGCAAGTGGACATTTGGAGGGCTTTGAGGCCTGTGGTGGAAAAGGAAAATCTTCACATAAAAACTAGATGGAAGCATTCTCAGAAACTACTTTGTGATGATTGCATTCGACTCACAGAGTTGAACATTCCTATAGATAGAGCAGGTTGTAAACAATCTTTTTGTAGAATCTGCGATTGGAGATTTGGACTGCTTTGAGGCCTACTGTAGTAAAGGAAATAACTTCATCTAAAAACCAAACGGAAGCATTCACAGACAATTCTTAGTGATCATTGGATTGAACTAACAGAGCTGAACATTCCTTTAGATGGTGCAGTTTCCAAACACACTTTCTGTAGAATCTGCAAGTGGATATTTGGACCTCTCTGAGGATTTCGTTGGAAACGGGATAAACTTCCCAGAACTACACGGAAGCATTCTGAGAAACTTCTTTGTGATGTTTGCATTCAACTCACAGAGTTGAACCTTGCTTTCTTAGTTCAGCTTTCAAACACTCTTTTTGTAGAATCTGCAAGTGGATATTTGGACCACTTTGTGGCCTTCCTTCGAAACGGGTATATCTTCACATCAAACCTAGACAGAAGCATTCTCAGAATGTTTCCTGTGATGACTGCATTCAACTCACAGAGGTGAACAATCCTGCTAATGGAGCAGTTTTGCAACTCTCTTTCTTTGGATTCTGCAAGTGGATATGTGGACCTCTGTGAAGATTTCGTTGGAAACGGGTTCATCTTCACAGAAAAACTAAACAGAAGCATTCTCAGAAACTGCTTTGTGATGTTTGCGTTCCACTTCAGGAACTGAACTTTCCTCTTGACAGAGCAGCTCTGAAACCCTCTTATTCTAGAATCTGCAAGTGGACATTTGGAGGGCTTTGAGGCCTGTGGTGGAAAAGGAAAATCTTCACATACAAACTAGATGGAAGCATTCTCAGAAACTACTTTGTGATGATTGCATTCGACTCACAGAGTTGTACATTCCTATAGATAGAGCAGGTTGTAAACAATCTTTTTGTAGAATCTGCGATTGGAGATTTGGACTGCTTTGAGGCCTACTGTAGTAAAGGAAATAACTTCATCTAAAAACCAAACGGAAGCATTCACAGACAATTCTTAGTGATCATTGGTTTGAAATAACTGAGCTGAACATTCCTTTAGATGGCGCAGTTTCCAAACACACTTTCTGTAGAATCTGCAAGTGGATATTTGGACCTCTCTGAGGATTTCGTTGGAAACGGGATAAACTTCCCAGAACTACACGGAAGCATTCTGAGAAACTTCTTTGTGATGTTTGCATTCAACTCACAGAGTTGAACCTTGCTTTCATTGTTCAGCTTTCAAACACTCTTTTTGTAGAATCTGCAAGTGGATATTTGGACCACTTTGTGGCCTTCCTTCGAAACGGGTATATCTTCACATCAAACCTAGACAGAAGCATTCTCAGAATGTTTCCTGTGATGACTGCATTCAACTCACAGAGGTGAACAATCCTGCTGATGGAGCAGTTTTGAAACTCTCTTTCTTTGGATTCTGCAAGTGGATATGTGGACCTCTGTGAAGATTTCGTTGGAAACGGGTTCATCTTCACAGAAAAACTAAACAGAAGCATTCTCAGAAACTGCTTTGTGATGTTTGTGTTCCACTTCAAGAATTGAACTTTCCTTTTGACAGAGCAGCTCTGAAACCCTCTTATTCTAAAATCTGCAAGTGGACATTTGGAGGGCTTTGAGGCCTGTGGTGGAAAAGGAAAATCTTCACATAAAAACTAGATGGAAGCATTCTCAGAAACTACTTTGTGATGATTGCATTCGACTCACAGAGTTGAACATTCCTATAGATAGAGCAGGTTGTAAACAATCTTTTTGTAGAATCTGCGATTGGAGATTTGGACTGCTTTGAGGCCTACTGTAGTAAAGGAAATAACTTCATCTAAAAACCAAACGGAAGCATTCACAGACAATTCTTAGTGATCATTGGATTGAACTAACAGAGCTGAACATTCCTTTAGATGGCGCAGTTTCCAAACACACTTTCTGTAGAATCTGCAAGTGGATATTTTGATTTCTCTGTGGATTTCGTTGGAAACGGGATAAACTTATCAGAACTACACGGAAGCATTGTGAGAAACTTCTTTGTGATGTTTGCATTCAACTCACAGAGTTGAACCTTGCTTTCATAGTTCAGCTTTCAAACACTCTTTTTGTAGAATCTGCAAGTGGATATTTGGACCACTTTGTGGCCTTCCTTCGAAACGGGTATATCTTCACATCAAACCTAGACAGAAGCATTCTCACAATGTTTCCTGTGATGACTGCATTCAACTCACAGAGGTGAACAATCCTGCTGTTGGAGCAGTTTTGAAACTCTCTTTCTTTGGATTCTGCAAGTGGATATGTGGACCTCTGTGAAGATTTCGTTGGAAACGGGTACATCTTCACAGAAAAACTAAACAGGAGCATTCTCAGAAACTGCTTTGTGATGTTTGTGTTCCACTTCAAGAATTGAACTTTCCTCTTGACAGAGCAGCTCTGAAACCCTCTTTTTCTAGAATCTGCAAGTGGACATTTGGAGGGCTTTGAGGCCTGTGGTGGAAAAGGAAAATCTTCACATAAAAACTAGATGGAAGCATTCTCAGAAACTACTTTGTGATGATTGCATTCGACTCACAGAGTTGAACATTCCTATAGATAGAGCAGGTTGTAAACAATCTTTTTGTAGAATCTGCGATTGGAGATTTGGACTGCTTTGAGGCCTACTGTAGTAAAGGAAATAACTTCATCTAAAAACCAAACGGAAGCATTCACAGACAATTCTTAGTGATCATTGCATTGAACTAACAGAGCTGAACATTGCTTTAGATGGCGCAGTTTCCAAACACACTTTCTGTAGAATCTGCAAGTGGATATTTGGACCTCTCTGAGGATATCGTTGGAAAAGGGATAAACTTCCCAGAACTACACGGAAGCATTCTGAGAAACTTCTTTGTGATGTTTGCATTCAACTCACAGAGTTGAACCTTGCTTTCATAGTTCAGCTTTCAAACACTCTTTTTGTAGAATCTGCAAGTGGATATTTGGACCACTTTGTGGCCTTCCTTCGAAACGGGTATATCTTCACATCAAACCTAGACAGAAGCATTCTCAGAATGTTTCCTGTGATGACTGCATTCAACTCACAGAGGTGAACAATCCTGCTGATGGAGCAGTTTTGAAACTCTCTTTCTTTGGATTCTGCAAGTGGATATGTGGACCTCTGTGAAGATTTCGTTGGAAACGGGTTCATCTTCACAGAAAAACTAAACAGAAGCATTCTCAGAAACTGCTTTGTGATGTTTGTGTTCCACTTCAGGAATTGTACTTTCCTCTTGACAGAGCAGCTCTGAAACCCTCTTATTCTAGAATCTGCAAGTGGACATTTGGAGGGCTTTGAAGCCTGTGGTGGAAAAGGAAACTCTTCACATAAAAACTAGATGGAAGCATTCTCAGAAACTACTTTGTGATGATTGCATTCGACTCACAGAGTTGAACATTCCTATAGATAGAGCAGGTTGTAAACAATCTTTTTGTAGAATCTGCGATTGGAGATTTGGACTGCTTTGAGGCCTACTGTAGTAAAGGAAATAACTTCATCTAAAAACCAAACGGAACCATTCACGGACAATTCTTAGTGATCATTGCATTGAACTAACAGAGCTGAACATTCCTTTAGATGGCGCAGTTTCCAAACACACTTTCTGTAGAATCTGCAAGTGGATATTTGGACCTCTCTGAGGATTTCGTTGGAAACAGGATAAACTTCCCAGAACTACACGGAAGCATTGTGAGAAACTTCTTTGTGATGTTTGCATTCAACTCACAGAGTTGAACCTTGCTTTCATAGTTCAGCTTTCAAACACTCTTTTTGTAGAATCTGCAAGTGGATATTTGGACCACTTTGTGGCCTTCCTTTGAAAAGGGTATATCTTCACATCAAACCTAGACAGAAGCATTCTCAGAATGTTTCCTGTGATGACTGCATTCAACTCACAGAGGTGAACAATCCTGCTGATGGAGCAGTTTTGAAACTCTCTTTCTTTGGATTCTGCAAGTGGATATGTGGACCTCTGTGAAGATTTCGTTGGAAACGGGTTCATCTTCACAGAAAAACTAAACAGAAGCATTCTCAGAAACTGCTTTGTGATGTTTGTGTTCCACTTCAGGAATTGAACTTTCCTCTTGAAAGAGCAGCTCTGAAACCCTCTTTTTCTAGAATCTGCAAGTGGACATTTGGAGGGCTTTGAGGCCTGTGGTGGAAAAGGAAAATCTTCACATAAAAACTAGATGGAAGCATTCTCAGAAACTACTTTGTGATGATTGCATTCGACTCACAGAGTTGAACATTCCTATAGATAGAGCAGGTTGTAAACAATCTTTTTGTAGAATCTGCGATTGGAGATTTGGACTGCTTTGAGGCCTACTGTAGTAAAGGAAATAACTTCATCTAAAAACCAAACGGAAGCATTCACAGACAATTCTTAGTGATCATTGGATTGAACAAACAGAGCTGAACATTCCTTTAGATAGAGCAGTTTACAAACACACTTTCTGTAGAATCTGCAAGTGGATATTTGGACTTCTCTGAGGATTTCGTTGGAAAAGGGATAAAATTCCCAGAACTACACGGAAGCATTCTGAGAAACTTCTTTGTGATGTTTGCATTCAACTCACAGAGTTGAACCTTGCTTTCATAGTTCAGCTTTCAAACACTCTTTTTGTAGAATCTGCAAGTGGATATTTGGACCACTTTGTGGCCTTCCTTCGAAACGGGTATATCTTCACATCAAACCTAGACAGAAGCATTCTCAGAATGTTTCCTGTGATGACTGCATTCAACTCACAGAGGTGAACAATCCTGTTGATGGAGCAGTGTTGAAACTCTCTTTCTTTGGATTCTGCAAGTTGATATGTGGACCTCTGTGAAGATTTCGTTGGAAACGGGTTCATCTTCACAGAAAATCTAAACAGAAGCATTCTCAGAAACTGCTTTGTGATGTTTGTGTTCCACTTCAAGAATTGAACTTTCCTCTTGACAGAGCAGCTCTGAAACCCTCTTTTTCTAGAATCTGCAAGTGGACATTTGGAGGGCTTTGAGGCCTGTGGTGGAAAAGGAAAATCTTCACATAAAAACTAGATGGAAGCATTCTCAGAAACTACTTTGTGATGATTGCATTCGACTCACAGAGTTGAACATTCCTATAGATAGAGCAGGTTGTAAACAATCTTTTTGTAGAATCTGCGATTGGAGATTCGGACTGCTTTGAGACCTACTGTAGTAAAGGAAATAACTTCATCTAAAAACCAAACGGAAGCATTCACAGACAATTCTTAGTGATCATTGCATTGAACTAACAGAGCTGAACATTCCTTTAGATGGCGCAGTTTCCAAACACACTTTCTGTAGAATCTGCAAGTGGATATTTGGACCTCTCTGAGGATTTCGTTGGAAACGGGATAAACTTCCCAGAACTACACGGAAGCATTGTGAGAAACTTCTTTGTGATGTTTACATTCAACTCACAGAGTTGAACCTTGCTTTCATAGTTCAGCTTTCAAACACTCTTTTTGTAGAATCTGCAAGTGGATATTTGGACCACTTTGTGGCCTTCCTTCGAAACGGGTATATCTTCACATCAAACCTAGACAGAAGCATTCTCAGAATGTTTCCTGTGATGACTGCATTCAACTCACAGAGGTGAACAATCCTGTTGATGGAGCAGTTTTGAAACTCTCTTTCTTTGGATTCTGCAAGTTGATATGTCGACCTCTGTGAAGATTTCGTTGGAAACGGGTTCATCTTCACAGAAAAACTAAACAGAAGCATTCTCAGAAACTGCTTTGTGATGTTTGTGTTCCACTTCAAGAATTGAACTTTCCTCTTGACAGAGTAGCTCTGAAACCCTCTTTTTCTAGAATCTGCAAGTGGACATTTGGAGGGCTTTGAGGCCTGTGGTGGAAAAGGAAAATCTTCACATAAAAACTAGATGGAAGCATTCTCAGAAACTACTTTGTGATGATTGCATTCGACTCACAGAGTTGAACATTCCTATAGATAGAGCAGGTTGTAAACAATCTTTTTGTAGAATCTGCGATTGGAGATTTGGACTGCTTTGAGGCCTACTGTAGTAAAGGAAATAACTTCATCTAAAAACCAAACGGAAGCATTCACAGACAATTCTTAGTGATCATTGGATTGAACTAACAGAGCTGAACATTCCTTTAGATGGAGCAGTTTCCAAACACACTTTCTGTAGAATCTGCAAATGGATATTTGGACTTCTCTGAGGATTTCGTTGGAAACGGGATAAACTTCCCAGAACTACACGGAAGCATTCTGAGAAACTTCTTTGTGATGTTTGCATTCAACTCACAGAGTTGAACCTTGCTTTCATAGTTCAGCTTTCAAACACTCTTTTTGTAGAATCTGCAAGTGGATATTTGGACCACTTTGTGGCCTTCCTTCGAAACGGGTATATCTTCACATCAAACCTAGACAGGAAGCATTCTCAGAATGTTTCCTGTGATGACTGCATTCAACTCACAGAGGTGAACAATCCTGTTGATGGAGCACTTTTGAAACTCTCTTTCTTTGGATTCTGCAAGTTGATATGTGGACCTCTGTGAAGATTTCGTTGGAAATGGGTTCATCTTCACAGAAAAACTAAACAGAAGCATTCTCAGAAACTACTTTGTGATGTTTGTGTTCCACTTCAAGAATTGAACTTTCCTCTTGACAGAGCAGCTCTGAAACCCTCTTTTTCTAGAATCTGCAAGTGGACATTTGGAGGGCTTTGAGGCCTGTGGTGGAAAAGGAAAATCTTCACATAAAAACTAGATGGAAGCATTCTCAGAAACTACTTTGTGATGATTGTATTCGACTCACAGAGTTGAACATTCCTATAGATAGAGCAGGTTGTAAACAATCTTTTTGTAGAATCTGCGATTGGAGATTTGGACTGCTTTGAGGCCTACTGTAGTAAAGGAAATAACTTCACCTAAAAACCAAACGGAAGCATTCACAGACAATTCTTAGTGATCATTGCATTGAACTAACAGAGCTGAACATTCCTTTAGATGGCGCAGTTTCCAAACACACTTTCTGTAGAATCTGCAAGTGGATATTTGGACCTCTCTGAGGATTTCGTTGGAAACGGGATAAACTTCCCAGAACTACACGGAAGCATTGTGAGAAACTTCTTTGTGATGTTTGCATTCAACTCACAGAGTTGAACCTTGCTTTCATAGTTCAGCTTTCAAACACTCTTTTTGTAGAATCTGCAAGTGGATATTTGGACCACTTTGTGGCCTTCCTTCGAAACGGGTATATCTTCACATCAAACCTAGACAGAAGCATTCTCAGAATGTTTCCTGTGATGACTGCATTCAACTCACAGAGGTGAACAATCCTGCTGTTGGAGCAGTTTTGAAACTCTCTTTCTTTGGATTCTGCAAGTGGATATGTGGACCTCTGTGAAGATTTCGTTGGAAACGGGTTCATCTTCACAGAAAAACTAAACAGGAGCATTCTCAGAAACTGCTTTGTGATGTTTGTGTTCCACTTCAGGAATTGAACTTTCCTCTTGACAGAGCAGCTCTGAAACCCTCTTTTTCTAGAATCTGCAAGTGGACATTTGGAGGGCTTTGAGGCCTGTGGTGGAAAAGGAAAATCTTCACATAAAAACTAGATGGAAGCATTCTCAGAAACTACTATGTGATGATTGCATTCGACTCACAGAGTTGAACATTCCTATAGATAGAGCAGGTTGTAAACAATCTTTTTGTAGAATCTGCGATTGGAGATTTGGACTGCTTTGAGGCCTACTGTAGTAAAGGAAATAACTTCATCTAAAAACCAAACGGAAGCATTCACAGACAATTCTTAGTGATCATTGGATTGAACTAACAGAGCTGAACATTCCTTTAGATGGAGCAGTTTCCAAACACACTTTCTGTAGAATCTGCAAGTGGATATTTGGACCTCTCTGAGGATTTCGTTGGAAACGGGCTAAATTTCCCAGAACTACACGGAAGCATTCTGAGAAACTTCTTTGTGATGTTTGCATTCAACTCACAGAGTTGAACCTTGCTTTCATAGTTCAGCTTTCAAACACTCTTTTTGTAGAATCTGCAAGTGGATATTTGGACCACTTTGTGGCCTTCCTTCGAAACGGGTATATCTTCACATCAAACCTAGACAGAAGCATTCTCAGAATGTTTCCTGTGATGACTGCATTCAACTCACAGAGGTGAACAATCCTGTTGATGGAGCAGTTTTGAAACTCTCTTTCTTTGGATTCTGCAAGTGGATATGTGGACCTCTGTGAAGATTTCGTTGGAAACGGGTTCATCTTCACAGGAAAACTATACAGGAGCATTCTCAGAAACTGCTTTGTGATGTTTGTGTTCCACTTCAAGAATTGAACTTTCCTCTTGACAGAGCAGCTCTGAAACCCTCTTTTTCTAGAATCTGCTAGTGGACATTTGGAGGGCTTTGAGGCCTGTGGTGGAAAAGGAAAATCTTCACATAAGAACTAGATGGAAGCATTCTCAGAAACTACTTTGTGATGATTGCATTCGACTCACAGAGTTGAACATTCCTATAGATAGAGCAGGTTGTAAACAATCTTTTTGTAGAATCTGCGATTGGAGATTTGGACTGCTTTGAGGCCTACTGTAGTAAAGGAAATAACTTCATCTAAAAACCAAACGGAAGCATTCACAGACAATTCTTAGTGATCATTGGATTGAACTAACAGAGCTGAATATTCCTTGAGACGGAGCAGTTTCCAAACACACTTTCTGTAGAATCTGCAAGTGGATATTTGGACTTCTCTGAGGATTTCGTTGGAAACGGGATAATCTTCCCAGAACTACACGGAAGCATTGTGAGAAACTTCTTTGTGATGTTTGCATTCAACTCACAGAGTTGAACCTTGCTTTCATAGTTCAGCTTTCAAACACTCTTTTTGTAGAATCTGCAAGTGGATATTTGGACCACTTTGTGGCCTTCCTTTGAAAAGGGTATATCTTCACATCAAACCTAGACAGAAGCATTCTCAGAATGTTTCCTGTGATGACTGCATTCAACTCACAGAGGTGAACAATCCTGTTGATGTAGCACTTTTGAAACTCTCTTTCTTTGGATTCTGCAAGTTGATATGGGGACCTCTGTGAAGATTTCGTTGGAAACGGGTTCATCTTCACAGAAAAACTAAACAGAAGCATTCTCAGAAACTACTTTGTGATGTTTGTGTTCCACTTCAAGAATTGAACTTTCCTCTTGACAGAGCAGCTCTGAAACCCTCTTTTTCTAGAATCTGCAAGTGGACATTTGGAGGGCTTTGAGGCCTGTGGTGGAAAAGGAAAATCTTCACATAAAAACTAGATGGAAGCATTCTCAGAAACTACTTTGTGATGATTGCATTCGACTCACAGAGTTGAACATTCCTATAGATAGAGCAGGTTGTAAACAATCTTTTTGTAGAATCTGCGATTGGAGATTTGGACTGCTTTGAGGCCTACTGTAGTAAAGGAAATAACTTCATCTAAAAACCAAACGGAAGCATTCACAGACAATTCTTAGTGATCATTGCATTGAACTAACAGAGCTGAACATTCCTTTAGATGGCGCAGTTTCCAAACACACTTTCTGTAGAATCTGCAAGTGGATATTTGGACCTCTCTGAGGATTTCGTTGGAAAGGGGATAAACTTCCCAGAACTACACGGAAGCATTCTGAGAAACTTCTTTGTGATGTTTGCATTCAACTCACAGAGTTGAACCTTGCTTTCATAGTTCAGCTTTCAAACACTCTTTTTGTAGAATCTGCAAGTGGATATTTGGACCACTTTGTGGCCTTCCTTCGAAACGGGTATATCTTCACATCAAACCTAGACAGAAGCATTCTCAGAATGTTTCCTGTGATGACTGCATTCAACTCACAGAGGTGAACAATCCTGCTGATGGAGCAGTTTTGAAACTCCCTTTCTTTGGATTCTGCAAGTGGATATGTGGACCTCTGTGAAGATTTCGTTGGAAACGGGTTCATCTTCACAGAAAAACTAAACAGAAGCATTCTCAGAAACTGCTTTGTGATGTTTGTGTTCCACTTCAAGAATTGAACTTTCCTCCTGACAGAGCAGCTCTGAAACCCTCTTTTTCTAGAATCTGCAAGTGGACATTTGGAGGGCTTTGAGGCCTGTGGTGGAAAAGGAAAATCTTCACATAAAAACTAGATGGAAGCATTCTCAGAAACTACTTTGTGATGATTGCATTCGACTCACAGAGTTGAACATTCCTACAGATAGAGCAGGTTGTAAACAATCTTTTTGTAGAATCTGCGATTGGAGATTTGGACTGCTTTGAGGCCTACTGTAGTAAAGGAAATAACTTCATCTAAAAACCAAACGGAAGCATTCACAGACAATTCTTAGTGATCATTGCATTGAACTAACAGAGCTGAACATTCCTTTAGATGGAGCAGTTTCCAAACACACTTTCTGTAGAATCTGCAAGTGGATATGTGGACTTCTCTGAGGATTTCGTTGGAAACGGGATAAACTTCCCAGAACTACACGGAAGCATTGTGAGAAACTTCTTTGTGATGTTTGCATTCAACTCACAGAGTTGAACCTTGCTTTCATAGTTCAGCTTTCAAACACTCTTTTTGTAGAATCTGCAAGTGGATATTTGGACCACTTTGTGGCCTTCCTTCGAAACGGGTATATCTTCACATCAAACCTAGACAGAAGCATTCTCAGAATGTTTCCTGTGATGACTGCATTCAACTCACAGAGGTGAACAATCCTGTTGATGGGGCACTTTTGAAACTCTCTCTCTTTGGATTCTGCAAGTTGATATGTGGACCTCTGTGAAGATTTCGTTGGAAACGGGTTCATCTTCACAGAAAAACTAAACAGAAGCATTCTCAGAAACTACTTTGTGATGTTTGTGTTCCACTTCAAGAATTGAACTTTCCTCTTGACAGAGCAGCTCTGAAACCCTCTTTTTCTAGAATCTGCAAGTGGACATTTGGAGGGCTTTGAGGCCTGTGGTGGAAAAGGAAAATCTTCACATAAAAACTAGATGGAAGCATTCTCAGAAACTACTTTGTGTTGATTGCATTCGACTCACAGAGTTGAACATTCCTATAGATAGAGCAGGTTGTAAACAATCTTTTTGTAGAATCTGCGATTGGAGATTTGGACTGCTTTGAGGCCTACTGTAGTAAAGGAAATAACTTCATCTAAAAACCAAACGGAAGCATTCACAGACAATTCTTAGTGATCATTGGATTGAACTAACAGAGCTGAACATTCCTTTAGATGGAGCAGTTTCCAAACACACTTTCTGTAGAATCTGCAAGTGGATATTTGGACTTCTCTGAGGATTTCGTTGGAAACGGGATAAACTTCCCAGAACTACAGGGAAGCATTCTGAGAAACTTCTTTGTGATGTTTGCATTCAACTCACAGAGTTGAACCTTGCTTTCATAGTTCAGCTTTCAAACACTCTTTTTGTAGAATCTGCAAGTGGATATTTGGACCACTTTGTGGCCTTCCTTCGAAACGGGTATATCTTCACATCAAACATTGACAGAAGCATTCTCAGAATGTTTCCTGTGATGACTGCATTCAACTCACAGAGGTGAACAATCCTGCTGATGGAGCAGTTTTGAAACTCTCTTTCTTTGGATTCTGCATGTGGATATGTGGACCTCTGTGAAGATTTCGTTGGAAACGGGTTCATCTTCACAGAAAAACTAAACAGAAGAATTCTCAGAAACTGCTTTGTGATGTTTGTGTTCCACTTCAGGAATTGAACTTTCCTCTTGACAGAGCAGCTCTGAAACCCTCTTTTTCTAGAATCTGCAAGTGGACATTTGGAGGGCTTTGAGGCCTGTGGTGGAAAACGAAAATCTTCACATAAAAACTAGATGGAAGCATTCTCAGAAACTACTTTGTGATGATTGCATTCGACTCACAGAGTTGAACATTCCTATAGATAGAGCAGGTTGTAAACAATCTTTTTGTAGAATCTGCGATTGGAGATTTGGACTGCTTTGACGCCTACTGTAGTAAAGGAAATAACTTCATCTAAAAACCAAACGGAAGCATTCACAGACAATTCTTAGTGATCATTGCATTGAACTAACAGAGCTGAACATTCCTTTAGATGGAGCAGTTTCCAAACACACTTTCTGTAGAATCTGCAAGTGGATATTTGGACCTCTCTGAGGATTTCGTTGGAAACGGGATAAACTTCCCAGAACTACACGGAAGCATTGTGAGAAACTTCTTTGTGATGTTTGCATTCAACTCACAGAGTTGAACCTTGCTTTCATAGTTCAGCTTTCAAACACTCTTTTTGTAGAATCTGCAAGTGGATATTTGGACCACTTTGTGGCCTTCCTTCGAAACGGGTATATCTTCACATCAAACCTAGACAGAAGCATTCTCAGAATGTTTCCTCTGATGACTGCATTCAACCCACAGAGGTGAACAATCCTGCTGATGGAGCAGTTTTGAAACTCTCTTTCTTTGGATTCTGCAAGTGGATATGTGGACCTCTGTGAAGATTTCGTTGGAAACGGGTTCATCTTCACAGAAAAACTAAACAGGAGCATTCTCAGAAACTGCTTTGTGATGTTTGTGTTCCACTTCAGGAATTGAACTTTCCTCTTGACAGAGCAGCTCTGAAACCCTCTTTTTCTAGAATCTGCAAGTGGACATTTGGAGGGCTTTGAGGCCTGTGGTGGTAAAGGAAAATCTTCACATAAAAACTAGATGGAAGCATTCTCAGAAACTACTTTGTGATGATTGCATTCGACTCACAGAGTTGAACATTCCTATAGATAGAGCAGGTTGTAAACAATCTTTTTGTAGAATCTGCGATTGGAGATTTGGACTGCTTTGAGGCCTACTGTAGTAAAGGAAATAACTTCATCTAAAAACCAAACGGAAGCATTCACAGACAATTCTTAGTGATCATTGCATTGAACTAACAGAGCTGAACATTCCTTTAGATGGAGCAGTTTCCAAACACACTTTCTGTAGAATCTGCAAGTGGATATTTGGACTTCTCTGAGGATTTCGTTGGAAACGGGATAAACTTCCCAGAACTACACGGAAGCATTGTGAGAAACTTCTTTGTGATGTTTGCATTCAACTCACAGAGTTGAACCTTGCTTTCATAGTTCAGCTTTCAAACACTCTTTTTGTGGAATCTGCAAGTGGATATTTGGACCACTTTGTGGCCTTCCTTCGAAACGGGTATATCTTCACATCAAACCTAGACAGAAGCATTCTCAGAATGTTTCCTGTGATGACTGCATTCAACTCACAGAGGTGAACAATCCTGCTGATGGAGCAGTTTTGAAACTCTCTTTCTTTGGATTCTGCAAGTGGATATGTGGACCTCTGTGAAGATTTCGTTGGAAACGGGTTCATCTTCACAGAAAAACTAAACAGAAGCATTCTCAGAAACTGCTTTGTGATGTTTGTGTTCCACTTCAAGAATTGAACTTTCCTCTTGACAGAGCAGCTCTGAAACCCTCTTATTCTAGAATCTGCAAGTGGACATTTGGAGGGCTTTGAGGCCTGTGGTGGAAAAGGAAAATCTTCACATAAAAACTAGATGGAAGCATTCTCAGAAACTACTTTGTGATGATTGCATTCGACTCACAGAGTTGAACATTCCTATAGATAGAGCAGGTTGTAAACAATCTTTTTGTAGAATCTGCGATTGGAGATTTGGACTGCTTTGAGGCCTACTGTAGTAAAGGAAATAACTTCATCTAAAAACCAAACGGAAGCATTCACAGACAATTCTTAGTGATCATTGCATTGAACTAACAGAGCTGAACATTGCTTTAGATGGCGCAGTTTCCAAACCCACTTTCTGTAGAATCTGCAAGTGGATATTTGGACCTCTCTGAGGATTTCGTTGGAAACGGGATAAACTTCCCAGAACTACACGGAAGCATGCTGAGAAACTTCTTTGTGATGTTTGCATTCAACTCACAGAGTTGAACCTTGCTTTCATAGTTCAGCTTTCAAACACTCTTTTTGTAGAATCTGCAAGTGGATATTTGGACCACTTTGTGGCCTTCCTTCGAAACGGGTATATCTTCACATCAAACCTAGACAGAAGCATTCTCAGAATGTTTCCTGTGATGACTGCATTCAACTCACAGAGGTGAACAATCCTGTTGATGTAGCACTTTTGAAACTCTCTTTCTTTGGATTCTGCAAGTTGATATGGGGACCTCTGTGAAGATTTCGTTGGAAACGGGTTCATCTTCACAGAAAAACTAAACAGAAGCATTCTCAGAAACTACTTTGTGATGTTTGTGTTCCACTTCAAGAATTGAACTTTCCTCTTGACAGAGCAGCTCTGAAACCCTCTTTTTCTAGAATCTGCAAGTGGACATTTGGAGGGCTTTGAGGTCTGTGGTGGAAAAGGAAAATCTTCACATAAAAACTAGATGGAAGCATTCTCAGAAACTACTTTGTGATGATTGCATTCGACTCACAGAGTTGAACATTCCTATAGATAGAGCAGGTTGTAAACAATCTTTTTGTAGAATCTGCGATTGGAGATTTGGACTGCTTTGAGGCCTACTGTAGTAAAGGAAATAACTTCATCTAAAAACCAAACGGAAGCATTCACAGACAATTCTTAGTGATCATTGCATTGAACTAACAGAGCTGAACATTCCTTTAGATGGAGCAGTTTCCAAACACACTTTCTGTAGAATCTGCAAGTGGATATTTGGACTTCTCTGAGGATTTCGTTGGAAACGGGATAAACTTCCCAGAACTACACGGAAGCATTCTGAGAAACTTCTTTGTGATGTTTGCATTCAACTCACAGAGTTGAACCTTGCTTTCATAGTTCAGCTTTCAAACACTCTTTTTGTAGAATCTGCAAGTGGATATTTGGACCACTTTCTGGCCTTCCTTCGAAACGGGTATATCTTCACATCAAACCTAGACAGAAGCATTCTCAGAATGTTTCCTGTGATGACTGCATTCAACTCACAGCAGGTGAACAATCCTGCTGATGGAGCAGTTTTGAAACTCTCCTTCTTTGGATTCTGCAAGTGGATATGTGGACCTCTGTGAAGATTTCGTTGGAAACGGGTTCATCTTCACAGAAAAACTAAACAGAAGCATTCTCAGAAACTGCTTTGTGATGTTTGTGTTCCACTTCAGGAATTGAACTTTCCTCTTGACAGAGCAGCTCTGAAACCCTCTTATTCTAGAATCTGCAAGTGGACATTTGGAGGGCTTTGAGGCCTGTGGTGGAAAAGGAAAATCTTCACATAAAAACTAGATGGAAGCATTCTCAGAAACTACTTTGTGATGATTGCATTCGACTCACAGAGTTGAACATTCCTATACATAGAGCAGGTTGTAAACAATCTTTTTGTAGAATCTGCGATTGGAGATTTGGACTGCTTTGAGGCCTACTGTAGTAAAGGAAATAACTTCATCTAAAAACCAAACGGAAGCATTCACAGACAATTCTTAGTGATCATTGCATTGAACTAACAGAGCTGAACATTCCTTTAGATGGAGCAGTTTCCAAACCCACTTTCTGTAGAATCTGCAAGTGGATATTTGGACTTCTCTGAGGATTTCGTTGGAAACGGGATATACTTCCCAGAACTACACGGAAGCATTCTGAGAAACTTCTTTGTGATGTTTGCATTCAACTCACAGAGTTGAACCTTGCTTTCATAGTTCAGCTTTCAAACACTCTTTTTGTAGAATCTGCAAGTGGATATTTGGACCACTTTGTGGCCTTCCTTCGAAACGGGTATATCTTCACATCAAACCTAGACAGAAGCATTCTCAGAATGTTTCCTGTGATGACTGCATTCAACTCACAGAGGTGAACAATCCTGCTGATGGAGCAGTTTTGAAACTCTCTTTCTTTGGATTCTGCAAGTGGATATGTGGACCTCTGTGAAGATTTCGTTGGAAACGGGTTCATCTTCACAGAAAAACTAAACAGAAGCATTCTCAGAAACTGCTTTGTGATGTTTGTGTTCCACTTCAGGAATTGAACTTTCCTCTTGACAGAGCAGCTCTAAAACCCTCTTATTCTAGAATCTGCAAGTGGACATTTGGAGGGCTTTGAGGCCTGTGGTGGAAAAGGAAAATCTTCACATAAAAACTAGATGGAAGCATTCTCAGAAACTACTTTGTGATGATTGCATTCGACTCACAGAGTTGAACATTCCTATAGATAGAGCAGGTTGTAAACAATCTTTTTGTAGAATCTGCGATTGGAGATTTGGACTGCTTTGAGGCCTACTGTAGTAAAGGAAATAACTTCATCTAAAAACCAAACGGAAGCATTCACAGACAATTCTTAGTTATCATTGCATTGAACTAACAGACCTGAACATTCCTTTAGATGGCGCAGTTTCCAAACACACTTTCTGTAGAATCTGCAAGTGGATATTTGGACCTCTCTGAGGATTTCGTTGGAAACGGGATAAACTTCCCAGAACTACACGGAAGCATTGTGAGAAACTTCTTTGTGATGTTTGCATTCAACTCACAGAGTTGAACCTTGCTTTCATAGTTCAGCTTTCAAACACTCTTTTTGTAGAATCTGCAAGTGGATATTTGGACCACTTTGTGGCCTTCCTTCGAAACGGGTATATCTTCACATCAAACCTAGACAGAAGCATTCTCCGAATGTTTCCTGTGATGACTGCATTCAACTCACAGAGGTGAACAATCCTGCTGTTGGAGCAGTTTTGAAACTCTCTTTCTTTGGATTCTGCAAGTGGATATGTGGACCTCTGTGAAGATTTCGTTGGAAACGGGTTCATCTTCACAGAAAAACTAAACAGGAGCATTCTCAGAAACTGCTTTGTGATGTTTGTGTTCCACTTCAAGAATTGAACTTTCCTCTTGACAGAGCAGCTCTGAAACCCTCTTTTTCTAGAATCTGCAAGTGGACATTTGGAGGGCTTTGAGGCCTGTGGTGGAAAAGGAAAATCTTCACATAAAAACTAGATGGAAGCATTCTCAGAAACTACTTTGTGATGATTGCATTCGACTCACAGAGTTGAACATTCCTATAGATAGAGCAGGTTGTAAACAATCTTTTTGTAGAATCTGCGATTGGAGATTTGGACTGCTTTGAGGCCTACTGTAGTAAAGGAAATAACTTCATCTAAAAACCAAACGGAAGCATTCACAGACAATTCTTAGTGATCATTGCATTGAACTAACAGAACTGAACATTCCTTTAGATGGCGCAGTTTCCAAACACACTTTCTGTAGAATCTGCAAGTGGATATTTGGACTTCTCTGAGGATTTCGTTGGAAGCGGGATAAACTTCCCAGAACTACACGGAAGCATTCTGAGAAACTTCTTTGTGATGTTTGCATTCAACTCACAGAGTTGAACCTTGCTTTCATAGTTCAGCTTTCAAACACTCTTTTTGTAGAATCTGCAAGTGGATATTTGGACCACTTTGTGGCCTTCCTTCGAAACGGGTATATCTTCACATCAAACCTAGACAGAAGCATTCTCAGAATGTTTCCTGTGATGACTGCATTCAACTCACAGAGGTGAACAATCCTGCTGATGGAGCAGTTTTGAAACTCTCTTTCTTTGGATTCTGCAAGTGGATATGTGGACCTCTGTGAAGATTTCGTTGGAAACGGGTTCATCTTCACAGAAAAACTAAACAGAAGCATTCTCAGAAACTGCTTTGTGATGTTTGTGTTCCACTTCAGGAATTGAACTTTCCTCTTGACAGAGCAGCTCTGAAACCCTCTTATTCTAGAATCTGCAAGTGGACATTTGGAGGGCTTTGAGGCCTGTGGTGGAAAAGGAAAATCTTCACATAAAAACTAGATGGAAGCATTCTGAGAAACTACTTTGTGATGATTGCATTCGACTCACAGAGTTGAACATTCCTATAGATAGAGCAGGTTGTAAACAATCTTTTTGTAGAATCTGCGATTGGAGATTTGGACTGCTTTGAGGCCTACTGTAGTAAAGGAAATAACTTAATCTAAAAATCAAACGGAAGCATTCACAGACAATTCTTAGTGATCATTGGATTGAACTAACAGAGCTGAACATTCCTTTAGATGGAGCAGTTTCCAAACCCTCTTTCTGTAGAATCTGCAAGTGGATATTTGGACTTCTCTGAGGATTTCGTTGGAAACGGGATAAACTTCCCAGAACTACACGGAAGCATTGTGAGAAACTTCTTTGTGATGTTTGCATTCAACTCACAGAGTTGAACCTTGCTTTCATAGTTCAGCTTTCAAACACTCTTTTTGTAGAATCTGCAAGTGGATATTTGGACCACTTTGTGGCCTTCCTTCGAAACGGGTATATCTTCACATCAAACCTAGACAGAAGCATTCTCAGAATGTTTCCTGTGATGACTGCATTCAACTCACAGAGGTGAACAATCCTGCTGATGGAGCAGTTTTGAAACTCTCTTTCTTTGGATTCTGCAAGTGGATATGTGGACCTCTGTGAAGATTTCGTTGGAAACGTGTTCATCTTCACAGAAAAACTAAACAGGAGCATTCTCAGAAACTGCTTTGTGATGTTTGTGTTCCACTTCAAGAATTGAACTTTCCTCTTGACAGAGCAGCTCTGAAACCCTCTTTTTCTAGAATCTGCAAGTGGACATTTGGAGGGCTTTGAGGCCTGTGGTGGAAAAGGAAAATCTTCCCATAAAAACTAGATGGAAGCATTCTCAGAAACTATTTTGTGATGATTGCATTCGACTCACAGAGTTGAACATTCCTATAGATAGAGCAGGTTGTAAACAATCTTTTTGTAGAATCTGCGATTGGAGATTTGGACTGCTTTGAGGCCTACTGTAGTAAAGGAAATAACTTCATCTAAAAACCAAACTGAAGCATTCACAGACAATACTTAGTGATCATTGGATTGAACAAACAGAGCTGAACATTCCTTTAGATAGAGCAGTTTACAAACACACTTTCTGTAGAATCTGCAAGTGGATATTTGGACTTCTGTGAGGATTTCGTTGGAAACGGGATAAACTTCCCAGAACTACACGGAAGCATGCTGAGAAACTTCTTTGTGATGTTTGCATTCAACTCACAGAGTTGAACCTTGCTTTCATAGTTCAGCTTTCAAACACTCATTTTGTAGAATCTGCAAGTGGATATTTAGACCACTTTGTGGCCTTCCTTCGAAACGGGTATATCTTCACATCAAACCTAGACAGAAGCATTCTCAGAATGTTTCCTGTGATGACTGCATTCAACTCACAGAGGTGAACAATCCTGTTGATGGAGCACTTTTGAAACTCTCTTTCTTTGGATTCTGCAAGTGGATATGTGGACCTCTGTGAAGATTTCGTTGGAAACGGGTTCATCTTCACAGAAAAACTAAACAGAAGCATTCTCAGAAACTACTTTGTGATGTTTGTGTTCCACTTCAGGAATTGAACTTTCCTCTTGACAGAGCAGCTCTGAAACCCTCTTTTTCTAGAATCTGCAAGTGGACATTTGGAGGGCTTTGAGGCCTGTGGTGGAAAAGGAAAATCTTCACATAAAAACTAGATGGAAGCATTCTCAGAAACTACTCTGTGATGATTGCATTCGACTCACAGAGTTGAACCTTCCTATAGATAGAGCAGGTTGTAAACAATCTTTTTGTAGAATCTGCGATTGGAGATTTGGACTGCTTTGAGGCCTACTGTAGTAAAGGAAACAACTTCATCTAAAAACCAAACGGAAGCATTCACAGACAATTCTTAGTGATCATTGCATTGAACTAACAGAGCTGAACATTCCTTTAGATGGAGCAGTTTCCAAACACACTTTCTGTAGAATCTGCAAGTGGATATTTGGACTTCTCTGAGGATTTCGTTGGAAACGGGATAAACTTCCCAGAACTACACGGAAGCATTGGGAGAAACTTCTTTGTGATGTTTGCATTCAACTCACAGAGTTGAACCTTGCTTTCATAGTTCAGCTTTCAAACACTCTTTTTGTAGAATCTGCAAGTGGATATTTGGACCACTTTGTGGCCTTCCTTCGAAACGGGTATATCTTCACATCAAACCTAGACAGAAGCATTCTCAGAATGTTTCCTGTGATGACTGCATTCAACTCACAGAGGTGAACAATCCTGCTGATGGAGCAGTTTTGAAACTCTCTTTCTTTGGATTCTGCAAGTGGATATGTGGACCTCTGTGAAGATTTCGTTGGAAACGGGTTCATCTTCACAGAAAAACTAAACAGAAGCATTCTCGGAAACTGCTTTGTGATGTTTGTGTTCCACTTCAGGAATTGAACTTTCCTCTTGACAGAGCAGCTCTGAAACCCTCTTATTCTAGAATCTGCAAGTGGACATTTGGAGGGCTTTGAGGCCTGTGGTGGAAAAGGAAAATCTTCACATAAAAACTAGATGGAAGCATTCTCAGAAACTACTTTGTGATGATTGCATTCGACTCACAGAGTTGAACATTCCTATAGATAGAGCAGGTTGTAAACAATCTTTTTGTAGAATCTGCGATTGGAGATTTGGACTGCTTTGAGGCCTACTGTAGTAAAGGAAATAACTTCATCTAAAAACCAAACGGAAGCATTCACAGACAATTCTTAGTGATCATTGGATTGAACTAACAGAGCTGAACATTCCTTTAGATGGAGCAGTTTCGAAACACACTTTCTGTAGAATCTGCAAGTGGATATTTGGACTTCTCTGAGGATTTCGTTGGAAACGGGATAAACTTCCCAGAACTACACGGAAGCATTGTGAGAAACTTCTTTGTGATGTTTGCATTCAACTCACAGAGTTGATCCTTGCTTTCATAGTTCAGCTTTCAAACACTCTTTTTGTAGAACCTGCAAGTGGATATTTGGACCACTTTGTGGCCTTCCTTCGAAACGGGTATATCTTCACATCAAACCTAGACAGAAGCATTCTCAGAATGTTTCCTGTGATGACTGCATTCAACTCACAGAGGTGAACAATCCTGTTGATGGAGCAGTTTTGAAACTCTCTTTCTTTGGATTCTGCAAGTTGATATGTGGACCTCTGTGAAGATTTCGTTGGAAACGGGTTCATCTTCACAGAAAATCTAAACAGAAGCATTCTCAGAAACTGCTTTGTGATGTTTGTGTTCCACTTCAAGAATTGAACTTTCCTCTTGACAGAGCAGCTCTGAAACCCTCTTTTTCTAGAATCTGCAAGTGGACATTTGGAGGGCTTTGAGGCCTGTGGTGGAAAAGGAAAATCTTCCCATAAAAACTAGATGGAAGCATTCTCAGAAACTACTTTGTGATGATTGCATTCTACTCACAGAGTTGAACATTCCTATAGATAGAGCAGGTTGTAAACAATGTTTTTGTAGAATCTGCGATTGGAGATTTGGACTGCTTTGAGGCCTACTGTAGTAAAGGAAATAACTTCATCTAAAAACCAAACGGAAGCATTCACAGACAATTCTTAGTGATCATTGGATTGAACTAACAGAGCTGAACATTCCTTTAGATGGAGCAGTTTCCAAACACACTTTCTGCAGAATCTGCAAGTGGATATTTGGACTTCTCTGAGGATTTCGTTGGAAACGGGATAAACTTCCCAGAACTACACGGAAGCATTGTGAGAAACTTCTTTGTGATGTTTGCATTCAACTCACAGAGTTGAACCTTGCTTTCATAGTTCAGCTTTCAAACACTCTTTTTGTAGAATCTGCAAGTGGATATTTGGACCACTTTGTGGCCTTCCTTTGAAAAGGGTATATCTTCACATCAAACCTAGACAGAAGCATTCTCAGAATGTTTCCTGTGATGACTGCATTCAACTCACAGAGGTTAACAATCCTGCTGATGGAGCAGTTTTGAAACTCTCTTTCTTTGGATTCTGCAAGTGGATATGTGGACCTCTGTGAAGATTTCGTTGGAAACGGGTTCATCTTCACAGAAAAACTAAACAGAAGCATTCTCAGAAACTGCTTTGTGATGTTTGTGTTCCACTTCAGGAATTCAACTTTCCTCTTGAAAGTGCAGCTCTGAAACCCTCTTTTTCTAGAATCTGCAAGTGGACATTTGGAGGGCTTTGAGGCCTGTGGTGGAAAAGGAAAATCTTCACATAAAAACTAGATGGAAGCATTCTCAGAAACTACTTTGTGATGATTGCATTCGACTCACAGAGTTGAACATTCCTATACATAGAGCAGGTTGTAAACAATCTTTTTGTAGAATCTGCGATTGGAGATTTGGACTGCTTTGAGGCCTACTGTAGTAAAGGAAATAACTTCATCTAAAAACCAAACGGAAGCATTCACAGACAATTCTTAGTGATCATTGGATTGAACTAACAGAGCTGAACATTCCTTTAGATGGAGCAGTTTCCAAACACACTTTCTGTAGAATCTGCAAGTGGATATTTGGACTTCTCTGAGGATTTCGTTGGAAACGGGATAAACTTCCCAGAACTACACGGAAGCATTCTGAGAAACTTCTTTGTGATGTTTGCATTCAACTCACAGAGTTGAACCTTGCTTTCATAGTTCAGCTTTCAAACACTCTTTTTGTAGAATCTGCAAGTGGATATTTGGACCACTTTGTGGCCTTCCTTCGAAACGGGTATATCTTCACATCAAACCTAGACAGGAAGCATTCTCAGAATGTTTCCTGTGATGACTGCATTCAACTCACAGAGGTGAACAATCCTGCTGATGGAGCAGTTTTGAAACTCTCTTTCTTTGGATTCTGCAAGTGGATATGTGGACCTCTGTGAAGATTTCGTTGGAAACGGGTTCATCTTCACAGAAAAACTAAACAGGAGCATTCTCAGAAACTGCTTTGTGATGTTTGTGTTCCACTTCAAGAATTGAACTTTCCTCTTGACAGAGCAGCTCTGAAACCCTCTTTTTCTAGAATCAGCAAGTGTACATTTGGAGGACTTTGAGGCCTGTGGTGGAAAAGGAAAATCTTCACATAAAAACTAGATGGAAGCATTCTCAGAAACTACTTTGTGATGATTGCATTCGACTCACATAGTTGAACATTCCTATAGATAGAGCAGGTTGTAAACAATCTTTTTGTAGAATCTGTGATTGGAGATTTGGACTGCTTTGAGGCCTACTGTAGTAAAGGAAATAACTTCATCTAAAAACCAAACGGAAGCATTCACAGACAATTCTTAGTGATCATTGCATTGAACTAACAGAGCTGAACATTCCTTTAGATGGCGCAGTTTCCAAACACACTTTCTGTAGAATCTGAAAGTGGATATTTGGACCTCTCTGAGGATTTCGTTGGAAACGGGATAAACTTCCCAGAACTACACGGAAGCATTCTGAGAAACTTCTTTGTGATGTTTGCATTCAACTCACAGAGTTGAACCTTGCTTTCATAGTTCAGCTTTCAAACACTCTTTTTGTAGAATCTGCAAGTGGATATTTGGACCACTTTGTGGCCTTCCTTCGAAACGGGTATATCTTCACATCAAACCTAGACAGAAGCATTCTCAGAATGTTTCCTGTGATGACTGCATTCAACTCACAGAGGTGAACAATCCTGCTGATGGAGCAGTTTTGAAACTCTCTTTCTTTGGATTCTGCAAGTGGATATGTGGACCTCTGTGAAGATTTCGTTGGAAACGGGTTCATCTTCACAGAAAAACTAAACAGAAGCATTCTCAGAAACTGCTTTGTGATGTTTGTGTTCCACTTCAAGAATTGAACTTTCCTCTTGACAGAGCAGCTCTGAAACCCTCTTTTTCTAGAATCTGCAAGTGGACATTTGGAGGGCTTTGAGGCCTGTGGTGGAAAAGGAAAATCTTCACATAAAAACTAGATGGAAGCATTCTCAGAAACTACTTTGTGATGATTGCATTCGACTCACAGAGTTGAACA
Source organism: Homo sapiens (assembly GCF_000001405.40). NCBI lineage: Eukaryota > Metazoa > Chordata > Mammalia > Primates > Hominidae > Homo > Homo sapiens. The sequence continues at coordinate 52,090,542 of NC_000011.10, forward strand.
TTCCTATAGATAGAGCAGGTTGTAAACAATCTTTTTGTAGAATCTGCGATTGGAGATTTGGACTGCTTTGAGGCCTACTGTAGTAAAGGAAATAACTTCATCTAAAAACCAAACGGAAGCATTCACAGACAATTCTTAGTGATCATTGCATTGAACTAACAGAGCTGAACATTCCTTTAGATGGCGCAGTTTCCAAACACACTTTCTGTAGAATCTGCAAGTGGATATTTGGACCTCTCTGAGGATTTCGTTGGAAACGGGATAAACTTCCCAGAACTACACGGAAGCATTCTGAGAAACTTCTTTGTGATGTTTGCATTCAACTCACAGAGTTGAACCTTGCTTTCATAGTTCAGCTTTCAAACCCTCTTTTTGTAGAATCTGCAAGTGGATATTTGGACCACTTTGTGGCCTTCCTTCGAAACGGGTATATCTTCACATCAAACCTAGACAGAAGCATTCTCAGAATGTTTCCTGTGATGACTGCATTCAACTCACAGAGGTGAACAATCCTGCTGATGGAGCAGTTTTGAAACTCTCTTTCTTTGGATTCTGCAAGTGGATATGTGGACCTCTGTGAAGATTTCGTTGGAAACGCGTTCATCTTCACAGAAAAACTAAACAGAAGCATTCCCAGAAACTGCTTTGTGATGTTTCTGTTCCACTTCAAGAATTGAACTTTCCTCTTGACAGAGCAGCTCTGAAACCCTCTTTTTCTAGAATCTGCAAGTGGACATTTGGAGGGCTTTGAGGCCTGTGGTGGAAAAGGAAAATCTTCACATAAAAACTAGATGGAAGCATTCTCAGAAACTACTTTGTGATGATTGCATTCGACTCACAGAGTTGAACATTCCTATAGATAGAGCAGGTTGTAAACAATCTTTTTGTAGAATCTGCGATTGGAGATTTGGACTGCTTTGAGGCCTACTGTAGTAAAGGAAATAACTTCATCTAAAAACCAAACGGAAGCATTCAAAGACAATTCTTAGTGATCACTGGATTGAACTAACAGAGCTGAACATTCCTTTAGATGGCGCAGTTTCCAAAAGACTTTCTGTAGAATCTGCAAGTGGATATTTGGACTTCTCTGAGGATTTCGTTGGAAACGGGATAAACTTCCGAGAACTACACGGAAGCATTCTGAGAAACTTCTTTGTGATGTTTGCATTCAACTCACAGAGTTGAACCTTGCTTTCATAGTTCAGCTTTCAAACACTCTTTTTGTAGAATCTGCAAGTGGATATTTGGACCACTTTGTGGCCTTCCTTCGAAACGGGTATATCTTCACATCAAACCTAGACAGAAGCATTCTCAGAATGTTTCCTGTGATGACTGCATTCAACTCACAGAGGTGAACAATCCTGTTGATGGAGCAGTTTTGAAACTCTCTTTCTTTGGATTCTGCAAGTGGATATGTGGACCTCTGTGAAGATTTGGTTGGAAACGGGTTCATCTTCACAGAAAAACTAAACAGAAGCATTCTCAGAAACTGCTTTGTGATGTTTATGTTCCACTTCAGGAATTGAACTTTCCTCTTGACAGAGCAGCTCTGAAACCCTCTTTTTCTAGAATCTGCAAGTGGACATTTGGAGGGCTTTGAGGCCTGTGGTGGAAAAGGAAAATCTTCACATAAAAACTAGATGGAAGCATTCTCAGAAACTCCTTTGTGATGATTGCATTCGACTCACAGAGTTGAACATTCCTATAGATAGAGCAGGTTGTAAACAATCTTTTTGTAGAATCTGCGATTGGAGATTTGGACTGCTTTGAGGCCTACTGTAGTAAAGGAAATAACTTCATCTAAAAACCAAACGGAAGCATTCACAGACAATTCTTAGTGATCATTGGATTGAACTAACAGAGCTGAACATTCCTTTAGATGGAGCAGTTTCCAAACACACTTTCTGTAGAATCTGCAAGTGGATATTTGGACTTCTCTGAGGATTTCGTTGGAAACGGGATAAACTTCCCAGAACTACACGGAAGCATGCTGAGAAACTTCTTTGTGATGTTTGCATTCAACTCACAGAGTTGAACCTTGCTTTCATAGTTCAGCTTTCAAACACTCTTTTTGTAGAATCTGCAAGTGGATATTTGGACCACTTTGTGGCCTTTCTTCGAAACGGGTATATCTTCACATCAAACATAGACAGAAGCATTCTCAGAATGTTTCCTGTGATGACTGCATTCAACTCACAGAGGTGAACAATCCTGTTGATGAAGCACTTTTGAAACTCTCTTTCTTTGGATTCTGCAAGTGGATATGTGGACCTCTGTGAAGATTTCGTTGGAAACGGGTTCATCTTCCCAGAAAAACTAAAAAGAAACATTCTCAGAAACTGCTTTGTGAAGTTTGTGTTCCACTTCAGGAATTGAACTTTCCTCTTGACAGAGCAGCTCTGAAACCCTCTTATTCTAGAATCTGCAAGTGGACATTTGGAGGGCTTTGAGGCCTGTGGTGGAAAAGGAAAATCTTCACATAAAAACTAGATGGAAGCATTCTCAGAAACTACTTTGTGATGATTGCATTCGACTCACAGAGTTGAACATTCCTATAGATAGAGCAGGTTGTAAACAATCTTTTTGTAGAATCTGCGATTGGAGATTTGGACTGCTTTGAGGCCTACTGTAGTAAAGGAAATAACTTCATCTAAAAACCAAACGGAAGCATTCACAGACAATTCTTAGTGATCATTGGATTGAACTAACAGAGCTGAACATTCCTTTAGATGGCGCAGTTTCCAAACACACTTTCTGTAGAATCTGCAAGTGGATATTTGGACCTCTCTGAGGATTTCGTTGGAAACGGGATAAACTTCCCAGAACTACACGGAAGCATTCTGAGAAACTTCTTTGTGATGTTTGCATTCAACTCACAGAGTTGAACCTTGCTTTCATAGTTCAGCTTTCAAACACTCTTTTTGTAGAATCTGCAAGTGGATATTTGGACCACTTTGTGGCCTTCCTTCGAAACGGGTATATCTTCACATCAAACCTAGACAGAAGCATTCTCAGAATGTTTCCTGTGATGACTGCATTCAACTCACAGAGGTGAACAATCCTGCTGTTGGAGCAGTTTTGAAACTCTCTTTCTTTGGATTCTGCAAGTGGATATGTGGACCTCTGTGAAGATTTCGTTGGAAACGGGTTCATCTTCGCAGAAAAACTAAACAGGAGCATTCTCAGAAACTGCTTTGTGATGTTTGTGTTCCACTTCAAGAATTGAACTTTCCTCTTGACAGAGCAGCTCTGAAACCCTCTTATTCTAGAATCTGCAAGTGGACATTTGGAGGGCTTTGAGGCCTGTGGTGGAAAAGGAAAATCTTCACATAAAAACTAGATGGAAGCATTCTCAGAAACTACTTTGTGATGATTGCATTCGACTCACAGAGTTGAACATTCCTATAGATAGAGCAGGTTGTAAACAATCTTTTTGTAGAATCTGCGATTGGAGATTTGGACTGCTTTGAGGCCTACTGTAGTAAAGGAAATAACTTCATCTAAAAACCAAACGGAAGCATTCACAGACAATTCTTAGTGATCATTGGATTGAACTAACAGAGCTGAACATTCCCTTAGATGGCGCAGTTTCCAAACACACTTTCTGTAGAATCTGCAAGTGGATATTTGGACCTCCTCTGAGGATTTCGTTGGAAACGGGATAAACTTCCCAGAACTACACGGAAGCATTCTGAGAAACTTCTTTGTGATGTTTGCATTCAACTCACAGAGTTGAACCTTGCTTTCATAGTTCAGCTTTCAAACACTCTTTTTGTAGAATCTGCAAGTGGATATTTGGACCACTTTGTGGCCTTCCTTCGAAACGGGTATATCTTCACATCAAACCTAGACAGAAGCATTCTCAGAATGTTTCCTGTGATGACTGCATTCAACTCACAGAGGTGAACAATCCTGCTGATGGAGCAGTTTTGAAACTCTCTTTCTTTGGATTCTGCATGTGGATATGTGGACCTCTGTGAAGATTTCGTTGGAAAAGGGTTCATCTTCACAGAAAAACTAAACAGGAGCATTCTCAGAAACTGCTTTGTGATGTTTGTGTTCCACTTCAGGAATTGAACTTTCCTCTTGACAGAGCAGCTCTGAAACCCTCTTTTTCTAGAATCTGCAAGTGGACATTTGGAGGGCTTTGAGGCCTGTGGTGGAAAAGGAAAATCTTCACATAAAAACTAGATGGAAGCATTCTCAGAAACTACTTTGTGATGATTGCATTCGACTCACAGAGTTGAACATTCCTATAGATAGAGCAGGTTGTAAACAATCCTTTTGTAGAATCTGCGATTGGAGATTTGGAATGCTTTGAGGCCTACTGTAGTAAAGGAAAGAACTTCATCTAAAAACCAAACGGAAGCATTCACAGACAATTCTTAGTGATCATTGGATTGAACTAACAGAGCTGAAGATTCCCTTAGATGGCGCAGTTTCCAAACACACTTTCTGTAGAATCTGCAAGTGGATATTTGGACCTCTCTGAGGATTTCGTTGGAAACGGGATAAACTTCCCAGAACTACACGGAAGCATTCTGAGAAACTTCTTTGTGATGTTTGCATTCAACTCACAGAGTTGAACCTTGCTTTCATAGTTCAGCTTTCAAACACTCTTTTTGTAGAATCTGCAAGTGGATATTTGGACCACTTTGTGGCCTTCCTTCGAAACGGGTATATCTTCACATCAAACCTAGACAGAAGCATTCTCAGAATGTTTTCCTGTGATGACTGCATTCAACTCACAGAGGTGAACAATCCTGCTGATGGAGCAGTTTTGAAACTCTCTTTCTTTGGATTCTGCAAGTGGATATGTGGACCTCTGTGAAGATTTCGTTGGAAACGGGTTCATCTTCACAGAAAAACTAAACAGGAAGCATTCTCAGAAACTGCTTTGTGATGTTTGTGTTCCTCTTCAAGAATTGAACTTTCCTCTTGACAGAGCAGCTCTGAAACCCTCTTTTTCTAGAATCTGCAAGTGGACATTTGGAGGGCTTTGAGGCCTGTGGTGGAAAAGGAATATCTTCACATTAAAACTAGATGGAAGCATTCTCAGAAACTACTTTGTGATGATAGCATTCGACTCACAGAGTTGAACCTTCCAATGGAGAGAGCAGTTTCTAAACACTCTTTTTGTAGAATCTGTCATTGCTGATTTGGACTGCATTGAGGCCTGCGGTACTAAAGGAAATATCTTCATCTAAAAACCAAACGGAAGCATTCACAGACAATTCTTAGTGATCATTGCATTGAACTAACAGAGCTGAACATTGCTTTAGACGGCGCAGTTTCCAAACACACTTTCTGTAGAATCTGCAAGTGGATATTTGGACTTCTCTGAGGATTTCGTTGGAAACGGGATAAACTTCCCAGAACTACACGGAAGCATGCTGAGAAACTTCTTTGTGATGTTTGCATTCAACTCACAGAGTTGAACCTTGCTTTCATAGTTCAGCTTTCAAACACTCTTTTTGTAGAATCTGCAAGTGGATATTTGGACCACTTTGTGGCCTTCCTTCGAAACGGGTATATCTTCACATCAAACCTAGACAGAAGCATTCTCAGAATGTTTCCTGTGATGACTGCATTCAACTCACAGAGGTGAACAATCCTGTTGATGGAGCACTTTTGAAACTCTCTTTCTTTGGATTCTGCAAGTTGATATGTGGACCTCTGAGAACATTTCGTTGGAAACGGGTTCATCTTCACAGAAAAACTAAACAGAAGCATTCTCAGAAACTACTTTGTGATGTTTGTGTTCCACTTCAAGAATTGAACTTTCCTCTTGACAGAGCAGCTCTGAAACCCTCTTTTTCTAGAATCTGCAAGTGGACATTTGGAGGGCTTTGAGGCCTGTGGTGGAAAAGGAAAATCTTCACATAAAAACTAGATGGAAGCATTCTCAGAAACTACTTTGTGATGATTGCATTCGACTCACAGAGTTGAACATTCCTATAGATAGAGCAGGTTGTAAACAATCTTTTTGTAGAATCTGCGATTGGAGATTTGGACTGCTTTGAGGCCTACTGTAGTAAAGGAAATAACTTCATCTAAAAACCAAACGGAAGCATTCACAGACAATTCTTAGTGATCATTGGATTGAACTAACAGAGCTGAACATTCCTTTAGATGTAGCAGTTTCCAAACACACTTTCTGTAGAATCTGCAAGTGGATATTTGGACTTCTCTGAGGATTTCGTTGGAAACGGGATAAACTTCCCAGAACTACACGGAAGCATTGTGAGAAACTTCTTTGTGATGTTTGCATTCAACTCACAGAGTTGAACCTTGCTTTCATAGTTCAGCTTTCAAACACTCTTTTTGTAGAATCTGCAAGTGGATATTTGGACCACTTTGTGGCCTTCCTTCGAAACGGGTATATCTTCACATCAAACCTAGACAGAAGCATTCTCAGAATGTTTCCTGTGATGACTGCATTCAACTCACAGAGGTGAACAATCCTGCTGATGGAGCAGTTTTGAAACTCTCTTTCTATGGATTCTGCAAGTGGATATGTGGACCTCTGTGAAGATTTCGTTGGAAACGGGTTCATCTTCACAGAAAAACTAAACAGGAGCATTCTCAGAAACTGCTTTGTGATGTTTGTGTTCCACTTAAAGAATTGAACTTTCCTCTTGACAGAGCAGCTCTGAAACCCTCTTTTTCTAGAATCTGCAAGTGGACATTTGGAGGGCTTTGAGGCCTGTGGTGGAAAAGGAAAATCTTCACATAAAAATTTTATGGAAGCATTCTCAGAAACTTCTTTGTGATGATTGCATTCGACTCACAGAGTTGAACATTCCTATAGATAGAGCAGGTTGTAAACAATCTTTTTGTAGAATCTGCGATTGGAGATTTGGACTGCTTTGAGGCCTACTGTAGTAAAGGAAATTACTTCATCTAAAAACCAAACGGAAGCATTCACAGACAATTCTTAGTGATCATTGGATTGAACTAACAGAGCTGAACATTCCTTTAGATGGAGCAGTTTCCAAACCCACTTTCTGTAGAATCTGCAAGTGGATATTTGGACTTCTCTGAGGATTTCGTTGGAAACGGGATAAACTACCCAGAACTACACGGAAGCATTGTGAGAAACTTCTTTGTGATGTTTGCATTCAACTCACAGAGTTGAACCTTGCTTTCATAGTTCAGCTTTCAAACACTCTTTTTGTAGAATCTGCAAGTGGATATTTGGACCACTTTGTGGCCTTCCTTCGAAACGGGTATATCTTCACATCAAACCTAGACAGAAGCATTCTCAGAATGTTTCCTGTGATGACTGCATTCAACTCACAGAGGTGAACAATCCTGCTGATGGAGCTGTTTTGAAACTCTCTTTCTTTGGATTCTGCAAGTGGATATGTGGACCTCTGTGAAGATTTCGTTGGAAACGGGTTCATCTTCACAGAAAAACTAAACAGAAGCATTCTCAGAAACTGCTTTGTGATGTTTGTGTTCCACTTCAGGAATTGTACTTTCCTCTTGACAGAGGCAGCTCTGAAACCCTCTTATTCTAGAATCTGCAAGTGGACATTTGGAGGGCTTTGAGGCCTGTGGTGGAAAAGGAAAATCTTCACATAAAAACTAGATGGAAGCATTCTCAGAAACTACTTTGTGATGATTGCATTCGACTCACAGGGTTGAACATTCCTATAGATAGAGCAGGTTGTAAACAATCTTTTTGTAGAATCTGCGATTGGAGATTTGGACTGCTTTGAGGCCTACTGTAGTAAAGGAAATAACTTCATCTAAAAACCAAACGGAAGCATTCACAGACAATTCTTAGTGATCATTGGATTGAACTAACAGAGCTGAACATTCCTTTAGATGGAGCAGTTTCCAAACCCACTTTCTGTAGAATCTGCAAGTGGATATTTGGACCTCTCTGAGGATTTCGTTGGAAACGGGATAAACTTCCCAGAACTACACGGAAGCATTGTGAGAAACTTCTTTGTGATGTTTGCATTCAACTCACAGAGTTGAACCTTGCTTTCATAGTTCAGCTTTCAAACACTCTTTTTGTAGAATCTGCAAGTGGATATTTGGACCACTTTGTGGCCTTCCTTCGAAACGGGTATATCTTCACATCAAACCTAGACAGAAGCATTCTCAGAATGTTTCCTGTGATGACTGCATTCAACTCACAGAGGCGAACAATCCTGCTGTTGGAGCAGTTTTGAAACTCTCTTTCTTTGGATTCTGCAAGTGGATATGTGGACCTCTGTGAAGATTTCGTTGGAAACGGGTTCATCTTCACAGAAAAACTAAACAGGAGCATTCTCAGAAACTGCTTTGTGATGTTTGTGTTCCACTTCAAGAATTGAACTTTCCTCTTGACAGAGCAGCTCTGAAACCCTCTTTTTCTAGAATCTGCAAGTGGACATTTGGAGGGCTTTGAGGCCTGTGGTGGAAAAGGAAAATCTTCACATAAAAACTAGATGGAAGCATTCTCAGAAACTACTTTGTGATGATTGCATTCGACTCACAGAGTTGAACATTCCTATAGATAGAGCAGGTTGTAAACAATCTTTTTGTAGAATCTGCGATTGGAGATTTGGACTGCTTTGAGGCCTACTGTAGTAAAGGAAATTACTTCATCTAAAAACCAAACGGAAGCATTCACAGACAATTCTTAGTGATCATTGGATTGAACTAACAGAGCTGAACATTCCTTTAGATGGAGCAGTTTCCAAACACACTTTCTGTAGAATCTGCAAGTGGATATTTGGACTTCTCTGAGGATTTCGTTGGAAACGGGATAAACTTCCCAGAACTACACGGAAGCATTGTGAGAAACTTCTTTGTGATGTTTGCATTCAACTCACAGAGTTGAACCTTGCTTTCATAGTTCAGCTTTCAAACACTCTTTTTGTAGAATCTGCAAGTGGATATTTGGACCACTTTGTGGCCTTCCTTCGAAACGGGTATATCTTCACATCAAACCTAGACAGAAGCATTCTCAGAATGTTTCCTGTGATGACTGCATTCAACTCACAGAGGTGAACAATCCTGCTGATGGAGCACTTTTGAAACTCTCTTTCTTTGGATTCTGCAAGTGGATATGTGGACCTCTGTGTAGATTTCGTTGGAAACGGGTTCATCTTCACAGAAAAACTAAACAGAAGCATTCTCAGAAACTGCTTTGTGATGTTTGTGTTCCACTTCAGGAATTGAACTTTCCTCTTGACAGAGCAGCTCTGAAACCCTCTTATTCTAGAATCTGCAAGTGGACATTTGGAGGGCTTTGAGGCCTGTGGTGGAAAAGGAAAATCTTCACATAAAAACTAGATGGAAGCATTCTCAGAAACTACTTTGTGATGATTGCATTCGACTCACAGAGTTGAACATTCCTATACATAGAGCAGGTTGTAAACAATCTTTTTGTAGAATCTGCGATTGGAGATTTGGACTGCTTTGAGGCCTACTGTAGTAAAGGAAATAACTTCATCTAAAAACCAAACGGAAGCATTCACAGACAATTCTTAGTGATCATTGCATTGAACTAACAGAGCTGAACATTCCTTTAGATGGAGCAGTTTCCAAACACACTTTCTGTAGAATCTGCAAGTGGATATTTGGACTTGTCTGAGGATTTCGTTGGAAACGGGATAAACTTCCCAGAACTACACGGAAGCATGCTGAGAAACTTCTTTGTGATGTTTGCATTCAACTCACAGAGTTGAAACTTGCTTTCATAGTTCAGCTTTCAAACACTCTTTTTGTAGAATCTGCAAGTGGATATTTGGACCACTTTGTGGCCTTCCTTCGAAACGGGTATATCTTCACATCAAACCTAGACAGAAGCATTCTCAGAATGTTTCCTGTGATGACTGCATTCAACTCACAGAGGTGAACAATCCTGTTGATGGAGCACTTTTGAAACTCTCTTTCTTTGGATTCTGCAAGTTGATATGTGGACCTCTGTGAAGATTTCGTTGGAAACGGGTTCATCTTCACAGAAAAACTAAACAGAAGCATTCTCAGAAACTGCTTTGTGATGTTTGTGTTCCACTTCAAGAATTGAACTTTCCTCTTGACAGAGCAGCTCTGAAACCCTCTTTTTCTAGAATCTGCAAGTGGACATTTGGAGGGCTTTGAGGCCTGTGGTGGAAAAGGAAAATCTTCACATAAAAACTAGATGGAAGCATTCTCAGAAACTACTTTGTGATGATTGCATTCGACTCACAGAGTTGAACATTCCTACAGATAGAGCAGGTTGTAAACAATCTTTTTGTAGAATCTGCGATTGGAGATTTGGACTGCTTTGAGGCCTACTGTAGTAAAGGAAATAACTTCATCTAAAAACCAAACGGAAGCATTCACAGACAATTCTTAGTGATCATTGCATTGAACTAACAGAGCTGAACATTCCTGTAGATGGCGCAGTTTCCAAACACACTTTCTGTAGAATCTGCAAGTGGATATTTGGACCTCTCTGAGGATTTCGTTGGAAACGGGATAAACTTCCCAGAACTACACGGAAGCATTCTGAGAAACTTCTTTGTGATGTTTGCATTCAACTCACAGAGTTGAACCTTGCTTTCATAGTTCAGCTTTCAAACACTCTTTTTGTAGAATCTGCAAGTGGATATTTGGACCACTTTGTGGCCTTCCTTCGAAACGGGTATATCTTCACATCAAACCTAGACAGAAGCATTCTCAGAATGTTTCCTGTGATGACTGCATTCAACTCACAGAGGTGAACAATCCTGCTGATGGAGCAGTTTTGAAACTCTCTTTCTTTGGATTCTGCAAGTGGATATGTGGACCTCTGTGAAGATTTCGTTGGAAACGGGTTCATCTTCACAGAAAAACTAAACAGAAGCATTCTCAGAAACTGCTTTGTGATGTTTGTGTTCCACTTCAAGAATTGAACTTTCCTCTTGACAGAGCAGCTCTGAAACCCTCTTTTTCTAGAATCTGCAAGTGGACATTTGGAGGGCTTTGAGGCCTGTGGTGGAAAAGGAAAATCTTCCCATAAAAACTAGATGGAAGCATTCTCAGAAACTACTTTGTGATGATTGCATTCGACTCACAAAGTTGAACATTCCTATAGATAGAGCAGGTTGTAAACAATCTTTTTGTAGAATCTACGATTGGAGATTTGGACTGCTTTGAGGCCTACTGTAGAAAAGGAAATAACTTCATCTAAAAACCAAACGGAAGCATTCACAGACAATTCTTAGTTATCATTGGATTGAACTAACAGAGCTGAACATTCCTTTAGATGGCGCAGTTTCCAAACACACTTTCTGTAGAATCTGCAAGTGGATATTTGGACCTCTCTGAGGATTTCGTTGGAAACGGGATAAATTTCCCAGAACTACACGGAAGCATTCTGAGAAACTTCTTTGTGATGTTTGCATTCAACTCACAGAGTTGAACCTTGCTTTCATAGTTCAGCTTTCAAACACACTTTTTGTAGAATCTGCAAGTGGATATTTGGACCACTTTGTGGCCTTCCTTCGAAACGGGTATATCTTCACATCAAACCTAGACAGAAGCATTCTCAGAATGTTTCCTGTGATGACTGCATTCAACTCACAGAGGTGAACAATCCTGCTGATGGAGTAGTTTTGAAACTCTCTTTCTTTGGATTCTGCAAGTGGATATGTGGACCTCTGTGAAGATTTCGTTAGAAACGGGTTCATCTTCACAGAAAAACTAAACAGAAGCATTCTCAGAAACTGCTTTGTGATGTTTGTGTTCCACTTCAGGAATTGAACTTTCCTCTTGACAGAGCAGCTCTGAAACCCTCTTATTCTAGAATCTGCAAGTGGACATTTGGAGGGCTTTGAGGCCTGTGGTGGAAAAGGAAAATCTTCACATAAAAACTAGATGGAAGCATTCTCAGAAACTACTTTGTGATGATTGCATTCGACTCACAGAGTTGAACATTCCTATAGATAGAGCAGGTTGTAAACAATCTTTTTGTAGAATCTGCGATTGGAGATTTGGACTGCTTTGAGGCCTACTGTAGTAAAGGAAATAACTTCATCTAAAAACCAAACGGAAGCATTCACAGACAATTCTTAGTGATCATTGGATTGAACTAACAGAGCTGAACATTCCTTTAGATGGAGCAGTTTCCAAACACACTTTCTGTAGAATCTGCAAGTGGATATTTGGACCTCTCTGAGGATTTCGTTGGAAACGGGATAAACTTCCCAGAACTACACGGAAGCATTCTGAGAAACTTCTTTGTGATGTTTGCATTCAACTCACAGAGTTGAACCTTGCTTTCATAGTTCAGCTTTCAAACACTCTTTTTGTAGAATCTGCAAGTGGATATTTGGACCACTTTGAGGCCTTCCTTCGAAACGGGTATATCTTCACATCAAACCTAGACAGAAGCATTCTCAGAATGTTTCCTGTGATGACTGCATTCAACTCACAGAGGTGAACAATCCTGCTGATGGAGCAGTTTTGAAACTCTCTTTCTTTGGATTCTGCAGGTGGATATGTGGACCTCTGTGAAGATTTCGTTGGAAACGGGTTCATCTTCACAGAAAAACTAAACAGGAGAATTCTCAGAAACTGCTTTGTGATGTTTGCGTTCCACTTCAGGAATTGAACTTTCCTCTTGACTGAGTAGCTCTGAAACCCTCTTTTTCTAGAATCTGCAAGTGGACATTTGGAGGGCTTTGAGGCCTGTGGTGGAAAAGGAAAATCTTCACATAAAAACTAGATGGAAGCATTCTCAGAAACTACTTTGTGATGATTGCATTCGACTCACAGAGTTGAACATTCCTATAGATAGAGCAGGTTGTAAACAATCTTTTTGTAGAATCTGCGATTGGAAATTTGGACTGCTTTGAGGCCTACTGTAGTAAAGGAAATAACTTCATCTAAAAACCAAACGGAAGCATTCACAGACAATTCTTAGTGATCATTGGATTGAACTAACAGAGCTGAACATTCCCTTAGATGGCGCAGTTTCCAAACACACTTTCTGTAGAATCTGCAAGTGGATATTTGGACCTCTCTGAGGATTTCGTTGGAAACGGGATAAACTTCCCAGAACTACACGGAAGCATTCTGAGAAACTTCTTTGTGATGTTTGCATTCAACTCACAGAGTTGAACCTTGCTTTCATAGTTCAGCTTTCAAACACTCTTTTTGTAGAATCTGCAAGTGGATATTTGGACCACTTTGTGGCCTTCCTTCGAAACGGGTATATCTTCACATCAAACCTAGACAGAAGCATTCTCAGAATGTTTCCTGTGATGACTGCATTCAACTCACAGAGGTGAACAATCCTGTTGATGGAGCAGTTTTGAAACTCTCTTTCTTTGGATTCTGCAAGTTGATATGTGGACCTCTGTGAAGATTTCGTTGGAAACGGGTTCATCTTCACAGAAAAACTAAACAGAAGCATTCTCAGAAACTGTTTTGTGATGTTTGTGTTCCACTTCAAGAATTGAACTTTCCTCTTGACAGAGCAGCTCTGAAACCCTCTTTTTCTAGAATCTGCAAGTGGACATTTGGAGGGCTTTGAGGCCTGTGGTGGAAAAGGAAAATCTTCACATAAAAACTAGATGGAAGCATTCTCAGAAACTAGTTTGTGATGATTGCATTCGACTCACAGAGTTGAACATTCCTATAGATAGAGCAGGTTGTAAACAATCTTTTTGTAGAATCTGCGATTGGAGATTTGGACTGCTTTGAGGCCTACTGTAGTAAAGGAAATAACTTCATCTAAAAACCAAACGGAAGCATTCACAGACAATTCTTAGTGATCATTGCATTGAACTAACAGAGCTGAACATTCCTTTAGATGGAGCAGTTTCCAAACACACTTTCTGTAGAATCTGCAAGTGGATATTTGGACTTCTCTGAGGATTTCGTTGGAAACGGGATAAACTTCCCAGAACTACACGGAAGCATTCTGAGAAACTTCTTTGTGATGTTTGCATTCAACTCACAGAGTTGAACCTTGCTTTCATAGTTCAGCTTTCAAACACTCTTTTTGTAGAATCTGCAAGTGGATATTTGGACCACTTTGTGGCCTTCCTTCGAAACGGGTATATCTTCACATCAAACCTAGACAGAAGCATTCTCAGAATGTTTCCTGTGATGACTGCATTCAACTCACAGAGGTGAACAATCCTGTTGATGGAGCACTTTTGAAACTCTCTTTCTTTGGATTCTGCAAGTGGATATGTGGACCTCTGTGAAGATTTCATTGGAAACGGGTTCATCTTCACAGAAAAACTAAACAGAAGCAGTCTGAGAAACTGCTTTGTGATGTTTGTGTTCCACTTCAAGAATTGAACTTTCCTGTTGACAGAGCAGCTCTGATACCCTCTTATTCTAGAATCTGCAAGTGGACATTTGGAGGGCTTTGAGGCCTGTGGTGGAAAAGGAAAATCTTCACATAAAAACTAGATGGAAGCATTCTCAGAAACTACTTTGTGATGATTGCATTCGACTCACAGAGTTGAACATTCCTATAGATAGAGCAGGTTGTAAACAATCTTTTTGTAGAATCTGCGATTGGAAATTTGGACTGCTTTGAGGCCTACTGTAGTAAAGGAAATAACTTCATCTAAAAACCAAACGGAAAGCATTCACAGACAATTCTTAGTGATCATTGGATTGAACTAACAGAGCTGAACATTCCTTTAGATGGAGCAGTTTCCAAACACACTTTCTGTAGAATCTGCAAGTGGATATTTGGACTTCTCTGAGGATTTCGTTGGAAACGGGATAAACTTCCCAGAACTACAGGGAAGCATTCTGAGAAACTTCTTTGTGATGTTTGCATTCAACTCACAGAGTTGAACCTTGCTTTCATAGTTCAGCTTTCAAACACTCTTTTTGTAGAATCTGCAAGTGGATATTTGGACCACTTTGTGGCCTTCCTTCGAAACGGGTATATCTTCACATCAAACCTAGACAGAAGCATTCTCAGAATGTTTCCTGTGATGACTGCATTCAACTCACAGAGGTGAACAATCCTGTTGATGGAGCAGTTTTGAAACTCTCTTTCTTTGGATTCTGCAAGTGGATATGTGGACCTCTGTGAAGATTTCGTTGGAAACGGGTTCATCTTCACAGAAAAACTAAACAGAAGCATTCTCAGAAACTGCTTTGTGATGTTTGTGTTCCACTTCAAGAATTGAACTTTCCTCTTGACAGAGCAGCTCTGAAACCCTCTTTTTCTAGAATCTGCAAGTGGACATTTGGAGGGCTTTGAGGCCTGTGGTGGAAAAGGAAAATCTTCACATACAAACTAGATGGAAGCATTCTCAGAAACTACTTTGTGATGATTGCATTCGACTCACAGAGTTGAACATTCCTATAGATAGAGCAGGTTGTAAACAATCTTTTTGTAGAATCTGCGATTGGAGATTTGGACTGCTTTGAGGCCTACTGTAGTAAAGGAAATAACTTCATCTAAAAACCAAACGGAAGCATTCACAGACAATTCTTAGTGATCATTGCATTGAACTAACAGAGCTGAACATTCCTTTAGATGGCGCAGTTTCCAAACACACTTTCTGTAGAATCTGCAAGTGGATATTTGGACTTCTCTGAGGATTTCGTTGGAAACGGGATAAACTTCCCAGAACTACACGGAAGCATTCTGAGAAACTTCTTTGTGATGTTTGCATTCAACTCACAGAGTTGAACCTTGCTTTCATAGTTCAGCTTTCAAACACTCTTTTTGTAGAATCTGCAAGTGGATATTTGGACCACTTTGTGGCCTTCCTTCGAAACGGGTATATCTTCACATCAAACATAGACAGAAGCATTCTCAGAATGTTTCCTGTGATGACTGCATTCAACTCACAGAGGTGAACAATCCTGTTGATGGAGCACTTTTGAAACTCTCTTTCTTTGGATTCTGCAAGTTGATATGTGGACCTCTGTGAAGATTTCGTTGGAAACGGGTTCATCTTCACAGAAAAACTAAACAGAAGCATTCTCAGAAACTACTTTGTGATGTTTGTGTTCCACTTCAAGAGTTGAACTTTCCTCTTTACAGAGCAGCTCTGAAACCCTCTTTTTCTAGAATCTGCAAGTGGACATTTGGAGGGCTTTGAGGCCTGTGGTGGAAAAGGAAAATCTTCACATAAAAACTAGATGGAAGCATTCTCAGAAACTACTTTGTGATGATTGCATTCGACTCACAGAGTTGAACATTCCTATAGATAGAGCAGGTTGTAAACAATGTTTTTGTAGAATCTGCGATTGGAGATTTGGACTGCTTTGAGGCCTACTGTAGTAAAGGAAATAACTTCATCTAAAAACCAAACGGAAGCATTCACAGACAATTCTTAGTGATCATTGGATTGAACTAACAGAGCTGAACATTCCTTTAGATGGAGCAGTTTCCAAACACACTTTCTGTAGAATCTGCAAGTGGATATTTGGACCTCTCTGAGGATTTCTTTGGAAACGGGATAAACTTCCCAGAACTACACGGAAGCATTCTGAGAAACTTCTTTGTGATGTTTGCATTCAACTCACAGAGTTGAACCTTGCTTTCATAGTTCAGCTTTCAAACACTCTTTTTGTAGAATCTGCAAGTGGATATTTGGACCACTTTGTGGCCTTCCTTCGAAACGGGTATATCTTCACATCAAACCTAGACAGAAGCATTCTCAGAATGTTTCCTGTGATGACTGCATTCAACTCACAGAGGTGAACAATCCTGTTGATGGAGCAGTTTTGAAACTTTCTTTGGATTCTGCAAGTGGATATGTGGACCTCTGTGAAGATTTCGTTGGAAACGGGTTCATCTTCACAGAAAAACTAAACAGAAGCATTCTCAGAAACTGCTTTGTGATGTTTGTGTTCCACTTCAGGAATTGAACTTTCCTCTTGACAGAGCAGCTCTGAAACCCTCTTATTCTAGAATCTGCAAGTGGACATTTGGAGGGCTTTGAGGCCTGTGGTGGAAAAGGAAAATCTTCACATAAAAACTAGATGGAAGCATTCTCAGAAACTACTTTGTGATGATTGCATTCGACTCACAGAGTTGAACATTCCTATAGATAGAGCAGGTTGTAAACAACCTTTTGGTAGAATCTGCGATTGGAGATTTGGACTGCTTTGAGGCCTACTGTAGTAAAGGAAATAACTTCATCTAAAAACCAAACGGAAGCATTCACAGACAATTCTTAGTGATCATTGCATTGAACTAACAGAGCTGAACATTCCTTTAGATGGAGCAGTTTCCAAACACACTTTCTGTAGAATGTGCAAGTGGATATTTGGACTTCTCTGAGGATTTCGTTGGAAACGGGATAAACTTCCCAGAACTACACGGAAGCATTCTGAGAAACTTCTTTGTGATGTTTGCATTCAACTCACAGAGTTGAACCTTGCTTTCATAGTTCAGCTTTCAAACACTCTTTTTGTGGAATCTGCAAGTGGATATTTGGACCACTTTGTGGCCTTCCTTCGAAACGGGTATATCTTCACATCAAACCTAGACAGAAGCATTCTCAGAATGTTTCCTGTGATGACTGCATTCAACTCACAGAGGTGAACAATCCGGCTAATGGAGCAGTTTTGAAACTCTCTTTCTTTGGATTCTGCAAGTGGATATGTGGACCTCTGTGAAGATTTCGTTGGAAACGGGTTCATCTTCACAGAAAAACTAAACAGAAGCATTCTCAGAAACTGCTTTGTGATGTTTGTGTTCCACTTCAGGAATTGAACTTTCCTCTTGACAGAGCAGCTCTGCAACCCTCTTATTCTAGAATCTGCAAGTGGACATTTGGAGGGCTTTGAGGCCTGTGGTGGAAAAGGAAAATCTTCACATAAAAACTAGATGGAAGCATTCTCAGAAACTACTTTGTGATGATTGCATTCGACTCACAGAGTTGAACATTCCTATAGATAGAGCAGGTTGTAAACAATCTTTTTGTAGAATCTGCGATTGGAGATTTGGACTGCTTTGAGGCCTACTGTAGTAAAGGAAATAACTTCATCTAAAAACCAAACGGAAGCATTCACAGACAATTCTTAGTGATCATTGCATTGAACTAACAGAGCTGAACATTCCTTTAGATGGAGCAGTTTCCAAACACACTTTCTGTAGAATCTGCAAGTGGATATTTGGACTTCTCTGAGGATTTCGTTGGAAACGGGATAAACTTCCCAGAACTACACGGAAGCATTGTGAGAAACTTCTTTGTGATGTTTGCATTCAACTCACAGAGTTGAACCTTGCTTTCATAGTTCAGCTTTCAAACACTCTTTTTGTAGAATCTGCAAGTGGATATTTGGACCACTTTGTGGCCTTCCTTCGAAACGGGTATATCTTCACATCAAACCTAGACAGAAGCATTCTCAGAATGTTTCCTGTGATGACTGCATTCAACTCACAGAGGTGAACAATCCTGCTGATGGAGCAGTTTTGAAACTCTCTTTCTTTGGATTCTGCAAGTGGATATGTGGACCTCTGTGAAGATTTCGTTGGAAACGGGTTCATCTTCACAGAAAAACTAAACAGAAGCATTCTCAGAAACTCCTTTGTCATGTTTGTGTTCCACTTCAGGAATTGAACTTTCCTCTTGACAGAGCAGCTCTGAAACCCTCTTATTCTAGAATCTGCAAGTTGACATTTGGAGGGCTTTGAGGCCTGTGGTGGAAAAGGAAAATGTTCACATAAAAACTAGATGGAAGCATTCTCAGAAACTACTTTGTGATGATTGCATTCGACTCACAGAGTTGAACATTCCTAAAGATAGAGCAGGTTGTAAACAATCTTTTTGTAGAATCTGAGATCGGAGATTTGGACTGCTTTGAGGCCTACTGTAGTAAAGGAAATAACTTCATCTAAAAACCAAACGGAAGTATTCACAGACAATTCTTAGTGATCATTGGATTGAACTAACAGAGCTGAACATTCCTTTAGATGGAGCAGTTTCCAAACACACTTTCTGTAGAATCTGCAAGTGGATATTTGGACTTCTCTGAGGATTTCGTTGGAAACGGGATAAACTTCCCAGAACTACACGGAAAAGCATTGTGAGAAACTTCTTTGTGATGTTTGCATTCAACTCACAGAGTTGAACCTTGCTTTCATAGTTCAGCTTTCAAACACTCTTTTTGTAGAATCTGCAAGTGGATATTTGGACCACTTTGTGGCCTTCCTTCGAAACGGGTATATCTTCACATCAAACCTAGACAGAAGCATTCTCAGAATGTTTCCTGTGATGACTGCATTCAACTCACAGAGGTGAACAATCCTTCTGATGGAGCAGTTTTGAAACTCTCTTTCTTTGGATTCTGCAAGTGGATATGTGGACCTCTGTGAAGATTTCGTTGGAAACGGGTTCATCTTCACAGAAAAACTAAACAGGAGTATTCTCAGAAACTGCTTTGTGATGTTTGTGTTCCACTTCAGGAATTGAACTTTCCTCTTGACAGAGCAGCTCTGAAACCCTCTTATTCTAGAATCTGCAAGTGGACATTTGGAGGGCTTTGAGGCCTGTGGTGGAAAAGGAAAATCTTCACATAAAAACTAGATGGAAGCATTCTCAGAAACTACTTTGTGATGATTGCATTCGACTCACAGAGTTGAACATTCCTATAGATAGAGCAGGTTGTAAACAATCTTTTTGTAGAATCTGCGATTGGAGATTTGGACTGCTTTGAGGCCAACTGTAGTAAAGGAAATAACTTCATCTAAAAACCAAACGGAAGCATTCACAGACAATTCTTAGTGATCATTGCATTGAACTAACAGAGCTGAACATTCCTTTAGATGGCGCAGTTTCCAAACACACTTTCTGTAGAATCTGCAAGTGGATATTTGGACCTCTCTGAGGATTTCGTTGGAAACGGGATAAACTTCCCAGAACTACACGGAAGCATTGTGAGAAACTTCTTTGTGATGTTTGCATTCAACTCACAGAGTTGAACCTTGCTTTCATAGTTCAGCTTTCAAACACTCTTTTTGTAGAATCTGCAAGTGGATATTTGGACCACTTTGTGGCCTTCCTTCGAAACGGGTATATCTTCACATCAAACCTAGACAGAAGCATTCTCAGAATGTTTCCTGTGATGACTGCATTCAACTCACAGAGGTGAACAATCCTGTTGATGGAGCAGTTTTGAAACTCTCTTTCTTTGGATTCTGCAAGTGGATATGTGGACCTCTGTGAAGATTTCGTTGGAAACGGGTTCATCTTCACAGAAAAACTAAACAGAAGCATTCTCAGAAACTGCTTTGTGATGTTTGTGTTCCACTTCAGGAATTGAACTTTCCTCTTGACTGAGCAGCTCTGAAACCCTCTTTTTCTAGAATCTGCAAGTGGACATTTGGAGGGCTTTGAGGCCTGTGGTGGAAAAGGAAAATCTTCACATAAAAACTAGATGGAAGCATTCTCAGAAACTACTTTGTGATGATTGCATTCGACTCACAGAGTTGAACATTCCTATAGATAGAGCAGGTTGTAAACAATCTTTTTGTAGAATCTGCGATTGGAGATTTGGACTGCTTTGAGGCCTACTGTAGTAAAGGAAATAACTTCATCTAAAAACCAAACGGAAGCATTCACAGACAATTCTTAGTGATCATTGGATTGAACTAACAGAGCTGAACATTCCTTTAGATGGAGCAGTTTCCAAACACACTTTCTGTAGATTCTGCAAGTGGATATTTGGACCTCTCTGAGGATTTCGTTGGAAAAGGGATAAACTTCCCAGAACTACACGGAAGCATTCTGAGAAACTTCTTTTTGATGTTTGCATTCAACTCACAGAGTTGAACCTTGCTTTCATAGTTCAGCTTTCAAACACTCTTTTTGTAGGATCTGCAAGTGGATATTTGGACCACTTTGTGGCCTTCCTTCGAAACGGGTATATCTTCACATCAAACCTAGACAGAAGCATTCTCAGAATGTTTCCTGTGATGACTGCATTCAACTCACAGAGGTGAACAATCCTGTTGATGGAGCAGTTTTGAAACTCTCTTTCTTTGGATTCTGCAAGTGGATATGTGGACCTCTGTGAAGATTTCGTTGGAAACGGGTTCATCTTCACAGAAAAACTAAACAGAAGCATTCTCAGAAACTGCTTTGTGATGTTTGTGTTCCACTTCAGGAATTGAACTTTCCTCTTGACAGAGCAGCTCTGAAACCCTCTTTTTCTAGAATCTGCAAGTGGACATTTGGAGGGCTTTGAGGCCTGTGGTGGAAAAGGAAAATCTTCACATAAAAACTAGATGGAAGCATTCTCAGAAACTACTTTGTGATGATTGCATTCGACTCACAGAGTTGTACATTCCTATAGATAGAGCATGGTTGAAAACAATCTTTTTGTAGAATCTGCGATTGGAGATTTGGACTGCTTTGAGGCCTACTGTAGTAAAGGAAATAACTTCATCTAAAAACCAAACGGAAGCATTCACAGACAATTCTTAGTGATCATTGGATTGAACTAACAGAGCTGAACATTCCTTTAGATGGAGCAGTTTCCAAACACACTTTCTGTAGAATCTGCAAGTGGATATTTGGACTTCTCTGAGGATTTCGTTGGAAACGGGATAAACTTCCCAGAACTACACGGAAGCATTCTGAGAAACTTCTTTGTGATGTTTGCATTCAACTCACAGAGTTGAACCTTGCTTTCATAGTTCAGCTTTCAAACACTCTTTTTGTAGAATCTGCAAGTGGATATTTGGACCACTTTGTGGCCTTCCTTCGAAACGGGTATATCTTCACATCAAACCTAGACAGAAGCATTCTCAGAATGTTTCCTGTGATGACTGCATTCAACTCACAGAGGTGAACAATCCTGCTGATGGAGCAGTTTTGAAACTCTCTTTCTTTGGATTCTGCAAGTGGATATGTGGACCTCTGTGAAGATTTCGTTGGAAACGGGTTCATCTTCACAGAAAAACTAAACAGGAGCATTCTCAGAAACTGCTTTGTGATGTTTGTGTTCCACTTCAAGAATTGAACTTTCCTCTTGACAGAGCAGCTCTGAAACCCTCTTTTTCTAGAATCTGCAAGTGGACATTTGGAGGGCTTTGAGGCCTGTGGTGGAAAAGGAAAATCTTCACATACAAACTAGATGGAAGCATTCTCAGAAACTACTTTGTGATGATTGCATTCGACTCACAGAGTTGAACATTCCTATAGATAGAGCTGGTTGTAAACAATCTTTTTGTAGAATCTGCGATTGGAGATTTGGACTGCTTTGAGGCCTACTGTAGTAAAGGAAATAACTTCATCTAAAAACCAAACGGAAGCATTCAAAGACAATTCTTAGTGATCATTGGATTGAACTAACAGAGCTGAACATTCCTTTAGATGGCGCAGCTTCCAAACACACTTTCTGTAGAATCTGCAACTGGATATTTGGACCTCTGGGAGGATTTCGTTGGAAACAGGACAAACTTCCCAGAACTACACGGAAGCATTGTGAGAATCATCTTTCTGATGTTTGCATTCAACTCACAGAGTTGAACCTTGCTTTCATAGTTCAGCTTTCAAACACTCTTTTTGTAGAATCTGCAAGTGGATATTTGGACCACTTTGTGGCCTTCCTTTGAAACGGGTACATCTTCACATCAAACCTAGACAGAAGCATTCTCAGAATGTTTCCTGTGATGACTGCATTCAACTCACAGAGGTGAACAATCCTGCTGATGGAGCAGTTTTGAAACTCTCTTTCTTTGGATTCTGCAAGTGGATATGTGGACCTCTGTGAAGATTTCGTTGGAAACGGGTTCATCTTCACAGAAAAACTAAACAGGAGCATTCTCAGAAACTGCTTTGTGATGTTTGTGTTCCACTTCAAGAATTGAACTTTCCTCTTGACAGAGCAGCTCTGAAACCCTCTTTTTCTAGAATCTGCAAGTGGACATTTGGAGGGCTTTGAGGCCTGTGGTGGAAAAGGAAAATCTTCACATAAAAACTAGATGGAAGCATTCTCAGAAACTACTTTGTGATGATTGCATTCGACTCACAGAGTTGAACATTCCTATAGATAGAGCAGGTTGTAAACAATCTTTTTGTAGAATCTGCGATTGGAGATTTGGACTGCTTTGAGGCCTACTGTAGTAAAGGAAATAACTTCATCTAAAAGCCAAACGGAAGCATTCACAGACAATTCTTAGTGATCATTGCATTGAACTAACAGAGCTGAATATTCCTTTAGATGGCGCAGTTTCCAAACACACTTTCTGTAGAATCTGCAAGTGGATATTTGGACCTCTCTGAGGATTTCGTTGGAAACGGGATAAACTTCCCAGAACTACACGGAAGCATTCTGAGAAACTTCTTTGTGATGTTTGCATTCAACTCACAGAGTTGAACCTTGCTTTCATAGTTCAGCTTTCAAACACTCTTTTTGTAGAATCTGCAAGTGGATATTTGGACCACTTTGTGGCCTTCCTTCGAAACGGGTATATCTTCACATCAAACCTAGACAGAAGCATTCTCAGAATGTTTCCTGTGATGACTGCATTCAACTCACAGAGGTGAACAATCCTGCTGATGGAGCAGTTTTGAAACTCTCTTTCTTTGGATTCTGCAAGTGGATATGTGGACCTCTGTGAAGATTTCGTTGGAAACGGGTTCATCTTCACAGAAAAACTAAACAGGAGCATTCTCAGAAACTGCTTTGTGATGTTTGTGTTCCACTTCAAGAATTGAACTTTCCTCTTGACAGAGCAGCTCTGAAACCCTCTTTTTCTAGAATCTGCAAGTGGACATTTGGAGGGCTTTGAGGCCTGTGGTGGAAAAGGAAAATCTTCCCATAAAAACTAGATGGAAGCATTCTCAGAAACTACTTTGTGATGATTGCATTCGACTCAGAGAGTTGAACATTCCTATAGATAGAGCAGGTTGTAAACAATCTTTTTGTAGAATCTGCGATTGGAGATTTGGACTGCTTTGAGGCCTACTGTAGTAAAGGAAATAACTTCATCTAAAAACCAAACGGAAGCATTCACAGACAATTCTTAGTGATCATTGCATTGAACTAACAGAGCTGAACATTCCTTTAGATGGCGCAGTTTCCAAACACACTTTCTGTAGAATCTGCAAGTGGATATTTGGACCTCTCTGAGGATTTCGTTGGAAAAGGGATAAACTTCCCAGAACTACACGGAAGCATTGTGAGAAACTTCTTTGTGATGTTTGCATTCAACTCACAGAGTTGAACCTTGCTTTCATAGTTCAGCTTTCAAACACTCTTTTTGTAGAATCTGCAAGTGGATATTTGGACCACTTTGTGGCCTTCCTTCGAAACGGGTATATCTTCACATCAAACCTAGACAGAAGCATTCTCAGAATGTTTCCTGTGATGACTGCATTCAACTCACAGAGGTGAACAATCCTGTTGATGGAGCAGTTTTGAAACTCTCTTTCTTTGGATTCTGCAAGTTGATATGTGGACCACTGTGAAGATTTCGTTGGAAACGGGTTCATCTTCACAGAAAAACTAAACAGAAGCATTCTCAGAAACTGCTTTGTGATGTTTGTGTTCCACTTCAAGAATTGAACTTTCCTCTTGACAGAGCAGCTCTGAAACCCTCTTTTTCTAGAATCTGCAAGTGGACATTTGGAGGGCTTTGAGGCCTGTGGTGGAAAAGGAAAATCTTCACATAAAAACTAGATGGAAGCATTCTCAGAAACTACTTTGTGATGATTGCATTCGACTCACAGAGTTGAACATTCCTATAGATAGAGCAGGTTGTAAACAATCTTTTTGTAGAATCTGCGATTGGAGATTTGGACTGCTTTGAGGCCTACTGTAGTAAAGGAAATAACTTCATCTAAAAACCAAACGGAAGCATTCACAGACAATTCTTAGTGATCATTGGATTGAACTAACAGAGCTGAACATTCCTTTAGATGGAGCTGTTTCCAAACACACTTTCTGTAGAATCTGCAAGTGGATATTTGGACTTCTCTGAGGATTTCGTTGGAAACGGGATAAACTTCCCAGAACTACACGGAAGCATTGTGAGAAACTTCTTTGTGATGTTTGCATTCAACTCACAGAGTTGAACCTTGCTTTCATAGTTCAGCTTTCAAACACTCTTTTTGTAGAATCTGCAAGTGGATATTTGGACCACTTTGTGGCCTTCCTTCGAAACGGGTATATCTTCACATCAAACCTAGACAGAAGCATTCTCAGAATGTTTCCTGTGATGACTGCATTCAACTCACAGAGGTGAACAATCCTGCTGATGGAGCAGTTTTGAAACTCTCTTTCTTTGGATTCTGCAAGTGGATATGTGGACCTCTGTGAAGATTTCGTTGGAAACGGGTTCATCTTCACAGAAAAACTAAACAGAAGCATTCTCAGTAAACTGCTTTGCGATGTTTGTGTTCCACTTCAAGAATTGAACTTTCCTCTTGACAGAGCAGCTCTGAAACCCTCTTTTTCTAGAATCTGCAAGTGGACATTTGGAGGGCTTTGAGGCCTGTGGTGGAAAAGGAAAATCTTCCCATAAAAACTAGATGGAAGCATTCTCAGAAACTACTTCGTGATGATTGCATTCGACTCACAGAGTTGAACATTCCTATAGATAGAGCAGGTTGTAAACAATCTTTTTGTAGAATCTGCGATTGGAGATTTGGACTGCTTTGAGGCCTACTGTAGTAAAGGAAATAACTTCATCTAAAAACCAAACGGAAGCATTCACAGACAATTCTTAGTGATCATTGGATTGAACTAACAGAGCTGAACATTCCTTTAGATGGAGCAGTTTCCAAACACACTTTCTGTAGAATCTGCAAGTGGATATTTGGACTTCTCTGAGGATTTCGTTGGAAACGGGAAAACTTCCCAGAACTACACGGAAGCATTCTGAGAAACTTCTTTGTGATGTTTGCATTCAACTCACAGAGTTGAACCTTGCTTTCATAGTTCAGCTTTCAAACACTCTTTTTGTAGAATCTGCAAGTGGATATTTGGACCACTTTGGGGCCTTCCTTCGAAACGGGTATATCTTCACATCAAACCTAGACAGAAGCATTCTCAGAATGTTTCCTGTGATGACTGCATTCAACTCACAGAGGTGAACAATCCTGCTGATGGAGCAGTTTTGAAACTCTCTTTCTTTGGATTCTGCAAGTGGATATGTGGACCTCTGTGAAGATTTCGTTGGAAACGGGTTCATCTTCACAGAAAAACTAAACAGGAGCATTCTCAGAAACTGCTTTGTGATGTTTGTGTTCCACTTCAAGAATTGAACTTTCCTCTTGACAGAGCAGCTCTGAAACCCTCTTTTTCTAGAATCTGCAAGTGGACATTTGGAGGGCTTTGAGGCCTGTGGTGGAAAAGGAAAATCTTCACATAAAAACTAGATGGAAGCATTCTCAGAAACTTCTTTGTGATGATTGCATTCGACTCACAGAGTTGAACATTCCTATAGATAGAGCAGGTTGTAAACAATCTTTTTGTAGAATCTGCGATTGGAGATTTGGACTGCTTTGAGGCCTACTGTAGTAAAGGAAATAACTTCATCTAAAAACCAAACGGAAGCATTCACAGACAATTCTTAGTGATCATTGGATTGAACTAACAGAGCTGAACATTCCTTTAGATGGAGCAGTTTCCAAACCCACTTTCTGTAGAATCTGCAAGTGGATATTTGGACTTCTCTGAGGATTTCGTTGGAAACGGGATAAACTTCCCAGAACTACACGGAAGCATTGTGAGAAACTTCTTTGTGATGTTTGCATTCAACTCACAGAGTTGAACCTTGCTTTCATAGTTCAGCTTTCAAACACTCTTTTTGTAGAATCTGCAAGTGGATATTTGGACCACTTTGTGGCCTTCCTTCGAAACGGGTATATCTTCACATCAAACCTAGACAGAAGCATTCTCAGAATGTTTCCTGTGATGACTGCATTCAACTCACAGAGTTGAACAATCCTGTTGATGGAGCAGTTTTGAAACTCTCTTTCTTTGGATTCTGCAAGTGGATATGTGGACCTCTGTGAAGATTTCGTTGGAAACGGGTTCATCTTCACAGAAAAACTAAACAGGAGCATTCTCAGAAACTGCTTTGTGATGTTTGTGTTCCACTTCAAGAATTGAACTTTCCTCTCGACAGAGCAGCTCTGAAACCCTCTTTTTCTAGAATCTGCAAGTGGACATTTGGAGGGCTTTGAGGCCTGTGGTGGAAAAGGAAACTCTTCACAGAAAAACTAGATGGAAGCATTCTCAGAAACTACTTTGTGATGATTGCATTCGACTCACAGAGTTGAACATTCCTATAGATAGAGCAGGTTGTAAACAATCTTTTTGTAGAATCTGCGATTGGAGATTTGGACTGCTTTGAGGCCTACTGTAGTAAAGGAAATAACTTCATCTAAAAACCAAACGGAAGCATTCACAGACAATTCTTAGTGATCATTGGATTGAACTAACAGAGCTGAACATTCCTTTAGATGGAGCAGTTTCCAAACACACTTTCTGTAGAATCTGCAAGTGGATATTTGGACTTCTCTGAGGATATCGTAGGAAACGGGATAAACTTCCCAGAACTACACGGAAGCATTGTGAGAAACTTCTTTGTGATGTTCGCATTCAACTCACAGAGTTGAACCTTGCTTTCATAGTTCAGCTTTCAAACACTCTTTTTGTAGAATCTGCAAGTGGATATTTGGACCACTTTGTGGCCTTCCTTCGAAACGGGTATATCTTCACATCAAACCTAGACAGAAGCATTCTCAGAATGTTTCCTGTGATGACTGCATTCAACTCACAGAGGTGAACAATCCTGTTGATGGAGCAGTTTTGAATCTCTCTTTCTTTGGATTCTGCAAGTGGATATGTGGACCTCTGTGAAGATTTCGTTGGAAACGGGTTCATTTTCACAGAAAAACTAAACAGAAGCATTCTCAGAAACTGCTTTGTGATGTTTGTGTTCCACTTCAAGAATTGAACTTTCCTCTTGACAGAGCAGCTCTGAAACCCTCTTTTTCTAGAATCTGCAAGTGGACATTTGGAGGGCTTTGAGGCCTGTGGTGGAAAAGGAAAATCTTCCCATAAAAACTAGATGGAAGCATTCTCAGAAACTACTTTGTGATGATTGCATTCGACTCACAGAGTTGAACATTCCTATAGATAGAGCAGGTTGTAAACAATCTTTTTGTAGAATCTGCGATTGGAGATTTGGACTGCTTTGAGGTCTACTGTAGTAAAGGAAATAACTTCATCTAAAAACCTAACGGAAGCATTCACAGACAATTCTTAGTGATCATTGGATTGAACTAACAGAGCTGAACATTCCTTTAGATGGAGCAGTTTCCAAACACACTTTCTGTAGAATCTGCAAGTGGATATTTGGACCTCTCTGAGGATTTCGTTGGAAACGGGATAAACTTCCCAGAACTACACGGAAGCATTCTGAGAAACTTCTTTGTGATGTTTGCATTCAACTCACAGAGTTGAACCTTGCTTTCATAGTTCAGCTTTCAAACACTCTTTTTGTAGGATCCGCAAGTGGATATTTGACAACTTTGTGGCCTTCCTTCGAAACGGGTATATCTTCACATCAAACCTAGACAGAAGCATTCTCAGAATGTTTCCTGTGATGACTGCATTCAACTCACAGAGGTGAACAATCCTGCTGATGGAGCAGTTTTGAAACTCTCTTTCTTTGGATTCTGCAAGTGGATATGTGGACCTCTGTGAAGATTTCGTTGGAAACGGGTTCATCTTCACAGAAAAACTAAACAGAAGCATTCTCAGAAACTGCTTTGTGATGTTTGTGTTCCACTTCAAGAATTGAACTTTCCTCTTGAAAGAGGAGCTCTGAAACCCTCTTTTTCTAGAATCTGCAAGTGGACATTTGGAGGGCTTTGAGGGCTGTGGTGGAAAAGGAAAATCTTCCCATAAAAACTAGATGGAAGCATTCTCAGAAACTACTTCGTGATGATTGCATTCGACTCACAGAGTTGAACATTCGTATAGATAGAGCAGGTTGTAAACAATCTTTTTGTAGAATCTGCGATTGGAGATTTGGACTGCTTTGAGGCCTACTGTAGTAAAGGAAATAACTTCATCTAAAAACCAAACGGAAGCATTCACAGACAATTCTTAGTGATCATTGGATTGAACTAACAGAGCTGAACATTCCTTTAGATGGAGCAGTTTCCAAACACACTTTCTGTAGAATCTGCAAGTGGATATTTGGACTTCTCTGAGGATTTCGTTGGAAACGGGATAAACTTCCCAGAACTACAGGGAAGCATTGTGAGAAACTTCTTTGTGATGTTTGCATTCAACTCACAGAGTTGATCCTTGCTTTCATAGTTCAGCTTTCAAACACTCTTTTTGTAGAACCTGCAAGTGGATATTTGGACCACTTTGTGGCCTTCCTTCGAAACGGGTATATCTTCACATCAAACCTAGACAGAAGCATTCTCAGAATGTTTCCTGTGATGACTGCATTCAACTCACAGAGGTGAACAATCCTGCTGATGGAGCAGTTTTGAAACTCTCTTTCTTTGGATTCTGCAAGTGGATATGTGGACCTCTGTGAAGATTTCGTTGGAAACGGGTTCATCTTCACAGAAAAACTAAACAGGAGCATTCTCAGAAACTGCTTTGTGATGTTTGTGTTCCACTTCAAGAATTGAACTTTCCTCTTGACAGAGCAGCTCTGAAACCCTCTTTTTCTAGAATCTGCAAGTGGACATTTGGAGGGCTTTGAGGCCTGTGGTGGAAAAGGAAAATCTTCACATAAAAACTAGATGGAAGCATTCTCAGAAACTACTTTGTGATGATTGCATTCGACTCACAGAGTTGAACATTCCTATAGATAGAGCAGGTTGAAAACAATCTTTTTGTAGAATCTGCGATTGGAGATTTGGACTGCTTTGAGGCCTACTGTAGTAAAGGAAATAACTTCATCTAAAAACCAAACGGAAGCATTCACAGACAATTCTTAGTGATCATTGCATTGAACTAACAGAGCTGAACATTCCTTTAGATGGCGCAGTTTCCAAACACACTTTCTGTAGAATCTGCAAGTGGATATTTGGACCTCTCTGAGGATTTCGTTGGAAACGGGATAAACTTCCCAGAACTACACGGAAGCATTCTGAGAAACTTCTTTGTGATGTTTGCATTCAACTCACAGAGTTGAACCTTGCTTTCATAGTTCAGCTTTCAAACACTCTTTTTGTAGAATCTGCAAGTGGATATTTGGACCACTTTGTGGCCTTCCTTCGAAACGGGTATATCTTCACATCAAACCTAGACAGAAGCATTCTCAGAATGTTATCTGTGATGACTGCATTCAACTCACAGAGGTGAACAATCCTGTTGATGGAGCAGTTTTGAAACTCTCTTTCTTTGGATTCTGCTAGTGCATATGTGGACCTCTGTGAAGATTTCGTTGGAAACGTGTTCATCTTCACAGAAAAACTAAACAGGAGCATTCTCAGAAACTGCTTTGTGATGTTTGTGTTCCACTTCAAGAATTGAACTATCCTCTTGACAGAGCAGCTCTGAAACCCTCTTTTTCTAGAATCTGCAAGTAGACATTTGGAGGGCTTTGAGGCCTGTGGTGGAAAAGGAAAATCTTCACATAAAAACTAGATGGAAGCATTCTCAGAAACTACTTTGTGATGATTGCATTCGACTCACAGAGTTGAACATTCCTATAGATAGAGCAGGTTGTAAACAATCTTTTTGTAGAATCTGCGATTGGAGATTTGGACTGCTTTGAGGCCTACTGTAGTAAAGGAAATAACTTCATCTAAAAACCAAACGGAAGCATTCACAGACAATTCTTAGTGATCATTGGATTGAACTAACAGAGCTGAACATTCCTTTAGATGGCGCAGTTTCCAAACACACTTTCTGTAGAATCTGCAAGTGGATATTTGGACTTCTCTGAGGATTTCGTTGGAAACGGGATAACCTTCCCAGAACTACACGGAAGCATTGTGAGAAACTTCTTTGTGATGTTTGCATTCAACTCACAGAGTTGAACCTTGCTTTCATAGTTCAGCTTTCAAACACTCTTTTTGTAGAATCTGCAAGTGGATATTTGGACCACTTTGTGGCCTTCCTTCGAAACGGGTATATCTTCACATCAAACCTAGACAGAAGCATTCTCAGAAAGTTTCCTGTGATGACTGCATTCAACTCACAGAGGTGAACAATCCTTCTGATGGAGCAGTTTTGAAACTCTCTTTCTTTGGATTCTGCAAGTGGATATGTGGACCTCTGTGAAGATTTCGTTGGAAACGGGTTCATCTTCACAGAAAAACTAAACAGAAGCATTCTCAGAAACTGCTTTGTGATGTTTGTGTTCCACTTCAAGAATTGAACTTTCCTCTTGACAGAGCAGCTCTGAAACCCTCTTTTTCTAGAATCTGCAAGTGGACATTTGGAGGGCTTTGAGGCCTGTGGTGGAAAAGGAAAATCTTCCCATAAAAACTAGATGGAAGCATTCTCAGAAACTACTTTGTGATGATTGCATTCGACTCACAGAGTTGAACATTCCTATAGATAGAGCAGGTTGTAAACAATGTTTTTGTAGAATCTGCGATTGGAGATTTGGACTGCTTTGAGGCCTACTGTAGTAAAGGAAATAACTTCATCTAAAAACCAAACGGAAGCATTCACAGACAATCCTTAGTGATCATTGCATTGAACTAACAGAGCTGAACATTCCTTTAGATGGCGCAGTTTCCAAACACACTTTCTGTAGAATCTGCAAGTGGATATTTGGACCTCTCTGAGGATTTCGTTGGAAACGGGATAAACTTCCCAGAACTACACGGAAGCATTGTGAGAAACTTCTTTGTGATGTTTGCATTCAACTCACAGAGTTGAACCTTGCTTTCATAGTTCAGCTTTCAAACACTCTTTTTGTAGAATCTGCAAGTGGATATTTGGACCACTTTGTGGCCTTCCTTCGAAACGGGTATATCTTCACATCAAACCTAGACAGAAGCATTCTCAGAATGTTTCCTGTGATGACTGCATTCAACTCACAGAGGTGAACAATCCTGTTGATGGGGCACTTTTGAAACTCTCTCTCTTTGGATTCTGCAAGTTGATATGTGGACCTCTGTGAAGATTTCGTTGGAAACGGGTTCATCTTCACAGAAAAACTAAACAGAAGCATTCTCAGAAACTACTTTGTGATGTTTGTGTTCCACTTCAAGAATTGAACTTTCCTCTTGACAGAGCAGCTCTGAAACCCTCTTTTTCTAGAATCTGCAAGTGGACATTTGGAGGGCTTTGAGGCCTGTGGTGGAAAAGGAAAATCTTCACATAAAAACTAGATGGAAGCATTCTCAGAAACTACTTTGTGATGATTGCATTCGACTCACAGAGTTGAACATTCCTATAGATAGAGCAGGTTGTAAACAATCTTTTTGTAGAATCTGCGATTGGAGATTTGGACTGCTTTGAGGCCTACTGTAGTAAAGGAAATAACTTCATCTAAAAACCAAACGGAAGCATTCACAGACAATTCTTAGTGATCATTGGATTGAACTAACAGAGCTGAACATTCCTTTAGATGGCGCAGTTTCCAAACACACTTTCTGTAGAATCTGCAAGTGGATATTTGGACCTCTCTGAGGATTTCGTTGGAAACGGGATAAACTTCCCAGAACTACACGGAAGCATTGTGAGAAACTTCTTTGTGATGTTTGCATTCAACTCACAGAGTTGAACCTTGCTTTCATAGTTCAGCTTTCAAACACTCTTTTTGTAGAATCTGCAAGTGGATATTTGGACCACTTTGTGGCCTTCCTTCGAAACGGGTATATCTTCACATCAAACCTAGACAGAAGCATTCTCAGAATGTTTCCTGTGATGACTGCATTCAACTCACAGAGGTGAACAATCTTGTTGATGGAGCAGTTTTGAAACTCTCTTTCTTTGGATTCTGCAAGTTGATATGTGGACCTCTGTGAAGATTTCGTTGGAAACGGGTTCATCTTCACAGAAAAACTAAACAGAAGCATTCTCAGAAACTGCTTTGTTATGTTTGTGTTCCACTTCAGGAATTGAACTTTCCTCTTGACAGAGCAGCTCTGAAACCCTCTTATTCTAGAATCTGCAAGTGGACATTTGGAGGGCTTTGAGGCCTGTGGTGGAAAAGGAAAATCTTCACATAAAAACTAGATGGAAGCATTCTCAGAAACTACTTTGTGATGATTGCATTCGACTCACAGAGTTGAACATTCCTATAGATAGAGCAGGTTGTAAACAATCTTTTTGTAGAATCTGCGATTGGAAATTTGGACTGCTTTGAGGCCTACTGTAGTAAAGGAAATAACTTCATCTAAAAACCAAACGGAAGCATTCACAGACAATTCTTAGTGATCATTGGATTGAACTAACAGAGCTGAACATTCCTTTAGATGGAGCAGTTTCCAAACACACTTTCTGTAGAATCTGCAAGTGGATATTTGGACCTCTCTGAGGATTTCGTTGGAAACGGGATAAACTTCCTAGAACTACACGGAAGCATTCTGAGAAACTTCTTTGTGATGTTTGCATTCAACTCACAGAGTTGAACCTTGCTTTCATAGTTCAGCTTTCAAACACTCTTTTTGTAGAATCTGCAAGTGGATATTTGGACCACTTTGTGGCCTTCCTTCGAAACGGGTATATCTTCACATCAAACCTAGACAGAAGCATTCTCAGAATGTTTCCTGTGATGACTGCATTCAACTCACAGTAGGTGAACAATCCTGCTGATGGAGCAGTTTTGAAACTCTCTTTCTTTGGATTCTGCAAGTGGATATGTGGACCTCTGTGAAGATTTCGTTGGAAACGGGTTCATCTTCACAGAAAAACTAAACAGAAGCATTCTCAGAAACTGCTTTGTGATGTTTGTGTTCCACTTCAGGAATTGAACTTTCCTCTTGACAGAGCAGCTCTGAAACCCTCTTATTCTAGAATCTGCAAGTGGACATTTGGAGGGCTTTGAGGCCTGTGGTGGAAAAGGAAAATCTTCACATAAAAACTAGATGGAAGCATTCTCAGAAACTACTTTGTGATGATTGCATTCGACTCACAGAGTTGAACATTCCTATAGATAGAGCAGGTTGTAAACAATCTTTTTGTAGAATCTGCGATTGGAGATTTGGACTGCTTTGAGGCCTACTGTAGTAAAGGAAATAACTTCATCTAAAAACCAAACGGAAGCATTCACAGAGAATTCTTAGTGATCATTGGATTCAACTAACAGAGCTGAACATTCCTTTAGATGGCGCAGTTTCCAAACACACTTTCTGTAGAATCTGCAAGTGGATATTTGGACCTCTCTGAGGATTTCTTTGGAAACGGGATAAACTTCCCAGAACTACACGGAAGCATTCTGAGAAACTTCTTTGTGATGTTTGCATTCAACTCACAGAGTTGAACCTTGTTTTCATAGTTCAGCTTTCAAACACTCTTTTTGTAGAA
Source organism: Homo sapiens (assembly GCF_000001405.40). NCBI lineage: Eukaryota > Metazoa > Chordata > Mammalia > Primates > Hominidae > Homo > Homo sapiens. The sequence continues at coordinate 52,124,925 of NC_000011.10, forward strand.
TCTGCAAGTGGATATTTGGACCACTTTGTGGCCTTCCTTCGAAACGGGTATATCTTCACATCAAACCTAGACAGAAGCATTCTCAGAATGTTTCCTGTGATGACTGCATTCAACTCACAGAGGTGAACAATCCTGCTGTTGGAGCAGTTTTGAAACTCTCTTTCTTTGGATTCTGCAAGTGGATATGTGGACCTCTGTGAAGATTTCATTGGAAACGGGTTCATCTTCACAGAAAAACTAAACAGGAGCATTCTCAGAAACTGCTTTGTTATGTTTGTGTTCCACTTCAAGAATTGTACTTTCCTCTTGACAGAGCAGCTCTGAAACCCTCTTATTCTAGAATCTGCAAGTGGACATTTGGAGGGCTTTGAGGCCTGTGGTGGAAAAGGAAAATCTTCACATAAAAACTAGATGGAAGCATTCTCAGAAACTACTTTGTGATGATTGCATTCGACTCACAGAGTTGAACATTCCTATAGATAGAGCAGGTTGTAAACAATCTTTTTGTAGAATCTGCGATTGGAGATTTGGACTGCTTTGAAGCCTACTGTAGTAAAGGAAATAACTTCATCTAAAAATCAAACGGAAGCATTCACAGACAATTCTTAGTGATCATTGGATTGAACTAACAGAGCTGAACATTCCTTTAGATGGCGCAGGTTCCAAACAAACTTTCTGTAGAATCTGCCACTGGATATTTGGACCTCTCTGAGGATTTCGTTGGAAACGGGCTAAACTTCCCAGAACTACACGGAAGCATTCTGAGAAACTTCTTTGTGATGTTTGCATTCAACTCACAGAGTTGAACCTTGCTTTCATAGTTCAGCTTTCAAACACTCTTTTTGTAGAATCTGCAAGTGGATATTTGGACCACTTTGTGGCCTTCCTTCGAAACGGGTATATCTTCACATCAAACCTAGACAGAAGCATTCTCAGAATGTTTCCTGTGATGACTGCATTCAACTCACAGAGGTGAACAATCCTGCTGATGGAGCAGTTTTGAAACTCTCTTTGTTTGGATTCTGCAAGTGGATATGTGGACGTCTGTGAAGATTTCGTTGGAAACGGGTTCATCTTCACAGAAAAACTAAACAGGAGCATTCTCAGAAACTGCTTTGTGATGTTTTTGTTCCACTTCAGGAATTGAACTTTCCTCTTGACAGAGCAGCTCTGAAACCCTGTTATTCTAGAATCTGCAAGTGGACATTTGGAGGGCTTTGAGGCCTGTGGTGGAAAAGGAAAACCTTCACATAAAAACTAGATGGAAGCATTCTCAGAAACTACTTTGTGATGATTGCATTCGACTCACAGAGTTGAACATTCCTATAGATAGAGCAGGTTGTAAACAATCTTTTTGTAGAATCTGCGATTGGAGATTTGGACTGCTTTGAGGCCTACTGTAGTAAAGGAAATAACTTCATCTAAAAACCAAACGGAAGCATTCACAGATAATTCTTAGTGATCATTGCATTGAACTAACAGAGCTGAACATTCCTTTAGATGGAGCAGTTTCCAAACACACTTTCTGTAGAATCTGCAAGTGGATATTTGGACCTCTCTGAGGATTTCGTTGGAAACGGGATAAACTTCCCAGAACTACACGGAAGCATTGTGAGAAACTTCTTTTTGATGTTTGCATTCAACTCACAGAGTTGAACCTTGCTTTCATAGTTCAGCTTTCAAACACTCTTTTTGTAGAATCTGCAAGTGGATATTTGGACCACTTTGTGGCCTTCCTTCGAAACGGGTATATCTTCACATCAAACCTAGACAGAAGCATTCTCAGAATGTTTCCTGTGATGACTGCATTCAACTCACAGAGGTGAACAATCCTGCTGTTGGAGCAGTTTTGAAACTCTCTTTCTTTGGATTCTGCAAGTGGATATGTGGACCTCTGTGAAGATTTCGTTGGAAACGTGTTCATCTTCACAGAAAAACTAAACAGGAGCATTCTCAGAAACTGCTTTGTGATGTTTGTGTTCCACTTCAAGAATTGAACTTTCCTCTTGACAGAGCAGCTCTGAAACCCTCTTTTTCTAGAATCTGCAAGTGGACATTTGGAGGGCTTTGAGGCCTGTGGTGGAAAAGGAAAATCTTCCCATAAAAACTAGATGGAAGCATTCTCAGAAACTACTTTGTGATGATTGCATTCGACTCACAGAGTTGAACATTCCTATAGATAGAGCAGGTTGTAAACAATCTTTTTGTAGAATCTGTGATTGGAGATTTGGACTGCTTTGAGGCCTACTGTAGTAAAGGAAATAACTTCATCTAAAAACCAAACGGAAGCATTCACAGACAATTCTTAGTGATCATTGCATTGAACTAACAGAGCTGAACATTCCTTTAGATGGAGCAGATTCCAAACACACTTTCTGTAGAATCTGCAAGTGGATATTTGGACCTCTCCTGAGGATTTCGTTGGAAACGGGATAAACTTCCCAGAACTACACGGAAGCATTCTGAGAAACTTCTTTGTGATGTTTGCATTCAACTCACAGAGTTGAACCTTGCTTTCATAGTTCAGCTTTCAAACACTCTTTTTGTAGAATCTGCAAGTGGATATTTGGACCACTTTCTGGCCTTCCTTCGAAACGGGTATATCTTCACATCAAACCTAGACAGAAGCATTCTCAGAATGTTTCCTGTGATGACTGCATTCAACTCACAGAGGTGAACAATCCTGCTGATGGAGCAGTTTTGAAACTCTCTTTCTTTGGATTCTGCAAGTGGATATGTGGACCTCTGTGAAGATTTCGTTGGAAACGGGTTCATCTTCACAGAAAAACTAAACAGGAGCATTCTCAGAAACTGCTTTGTGATGTTTGTGTTCCACTTCAGGAATTGAACTTTCCTCTTGACAGAGCAGCTCTGAAACCCTCTTTTTCTAGAATCTGCAAGTTGACATTTGGAGGGCTTTGAGGCCTGCGGTGGAAAAGGAAAATCTTCACATAAAAACTAGATGGAAGCATTCTCAGAAACTACTTTGTGATGATTGCATTCGACTCACAGAGTTGAACATTCCTATAGATAGAGCAGGTTGTAAACAATGTTTTTGTAGAATCTGCGATTGGAGATTTGGACTGCTTTGAGGCCTACTGTAGTAAAGGAAATAACTTCATCTAAAAACCAAACGGAAGCATTCACAGACAATTCTTAGTGATCATTGCATTGAACTAACAGAGCTGAACATTGCTTTAGATGGCGCAGTTTCCAAACCCACTTTCTGTAGAATCTGCAAGTGGATATTTGGACCTACTCTGAGGATTTCGTTGGAAACGGGATAAACTTCCCAGAACTACACGGAAGCATTCTGAGAAACTTCTTTGTGATGTTTGCATTCAACTCACAGAGTTGAACCTTGCTTTCATAGTTCAGCTTTCAAACACTCTTTTTGTAGAATCTGCAAGTGGATATTTGGACCACTTTGTGGCCTTCCTTCGAAACGGGTATATCTTCACATCAAACCTAGACAGAGCCCTATTGGATCTCAAACTTGCATAGGGCCTGTAGCCCCTTTGTTGTGTTTTTCTGTGAAGATGAACCCGTTTCCAACGAAATCTTCACAGGGGTCCACATATCCACTTGCAGAATTCAAAGAAAGAGAGTTTCAAAACTGCTCCATCAGCAGCATTGTTCACCTCTGTGAGTTGAATGCAGACATCACAGGAAACATTCTGAGAATGCTTC